>NC_000015.10:18052000-18341758 GCF_000001405.40 Homo sapiens | reverse complement strand
CGTCTGTCTAGTTTTTATTTGAAGATATTATCTTTTCTACCATAGGCCACAAACGTCTCCAACTATCCACATGCAGCTTCTACAAAAAGAGAGATTCAAAACTTCTCAATCAAAAGATAGGTTCAACTCTGTGAGAAAGAAGTTTCTCAGAATGCTTCCGTGTAGTTTCTATGTGAAGGTACACACACATCACACATACATTCAAACACATCTGTACATGTAAAATCCTTAGAAATATGAATAGGGTCTGAACCTGAGTTAATGGTATGGAAAGAATGTCAATTTCCTGATTTTGGCAACGTACTAGGTTAAGTTATATATAATCATTGGGGAAAGTTGCCTGAAAATAGCATGGTCATTCATTTTACTTCTTTTTTTAACTTCTCTGTGTGTTTTTATGTGAAGATATTTCCTTTTCCACAATAGGCCTCAAAGCTCTCCAAATATCTGCGAGCAGAGTCTACAAAATGAGAGATTCAAAACTGCTCAATGAAAAGATAGGTTCAACTCTGTGAGTTGAATGCACACCTCCAAAGAAGTTTCTCAGAATGCTTTCCGTGTAGTTTTTATGTGAAGATATTTACTTTTCCACAGTTGTCCCAAAGCTCTAAAATATCCACTTGCAGACCCTCCAAAAGAGTGTTTCAGAATTGCTCAATCAAAGGGAAGGTTCAATTCTGTGTGACCAATGCACTCATCACAAAGAAGTTTGTCTGAATGCTTCTGTGTAGAATTGATTTGAAGATAATTCCTTTTCCACCACAGTCCGCAAAGGGCTAAAAATATCCACTTGCCGATTCCACAAAAAGAGAGATTCAAAACTGCTCAATCACAAGATAGGTTCAACTTGGTAATTGGAAAGCACACATGACAAACAATTTCTGAGAATGTTTCTGTGTAGTTTTTAAGGGAAGATATTTGATTTTCAAATGTAGGCCTCAAATCGCTCCAAATATCCACTTGCATATTGTACAAAAAGAGAGATTCAAAACTGGTCACTCAAAAGTTAGGTCCAGCTCTGTGAGCTGAATGCACACATCACAAAGATGTTTCTCAGAAGGTTTCTGTATAGTTTTTATATGAAGATATTTGCTTTTCCACAATATGCCTCAAATCTCCCCAATTATCCACTTGCAGATTCTAGAAAAAGAGTGTTTCAAAACAGCTCAATCAAAATAAACTTTCAACTCTGTGAGATCAATGCACACATCACAAAGAAGTTTCTCAGAATGCTTCTGTGTAGTTTTTTTTGTGAAGATATTTGATTTTCCACAGCAGGCTTCCAAGCACTCCAAATATCCACTCGCAGATTCTGCAAAAAGAGAGATTCAAATCTGCTGAATCAAAAGATAGGTTTAACTCTGTGACTTCAATGCACACCTCACAAGGGTGTTTCTCAGAAAGCTTCTGTGTAGTTTTTATATGAAGATATCTCCTTCTCCAAAGCAGGTCTCAAAGCCCTCCAAATATTCACTTCAAGATTCTACGGAAAGATTGTCTCAACACTGCTAAATCTAAACAAATGTTCAACTCTGTGTGATGAATGCACTCATCACAGAGTAGTTTCTCTGAATGCCTCTGTGTAGTTTTTATTTGAAGATATTTGCTTTTCCAGTATAGGGCGAAATAGGGCTCCAAATATTCACTTGCAGATTCTACAAAAGGAGAGATTCCAAACTGCTCAATCAAAACATAGGTTCAACACTGTGAGTTGAATGCACACATCACAAAGAAGTTTCACAGAGTGCTTCTGGGTAGTTTTTATTTGAGGATATTTCCCTTTCCACAATAGGCCTCAAAGCTTTCCAAATATCCACTTGCAGATTCTGCAAAAAGAGAGATACAAAACTGCTCTATCAAAAGATAGATTCGACTCTGTGAGTTGAATGCCAACATCGCAAAGAAGTTTCTCAGAATGCTTCTCTGCAGCTTTTTTGTGAGTATGTTTCGTTTTCCACCATAGGGCGAAATGGGGCTCCAAATATCCACTTGCATTTCCTACAAAAAGAGAGATTCTAAGCTGCTCAATCAAAACATTGTTTCAACACGGTTAGTTGAATGCACACATCCCAAAGATGTTTTTCAGAGTGCTTCTGTGTGGTTTTTATGTGAAGATACTTCCTTTTCCACAATAGGCCTCAAATCTCTGTAAATATCCACTTGCAGACTCTACAAAGAGTGTTTCCAAACTGCTCAATCATAAGATAGGTTCAACTCCGATAGTTGAATGCACACATCACAAAGAAGTTTCCCAGAAAGCTTCTGTGTAGTTTTTGATGAAGATATCTTCTTCTCTAAAACAGAACTCCAAGCCCTCCAAATATTCACTTCAAGATTCTACGGAAAGATTGTCTCAAACTGCTAAATCAAAACAAAGGTTCAACTCTGTGTGATGAATGCATTCATCACAAAGAAGTTTCTCTGAGTGCTTCTGTGCAGTTTTTATTTGAAGATAATTGCTTTTCCAGTATAGGGCGAAATAGGGCTCCAAATATTCACTTGCAGATTCTACAGAAAGAGAGATTCCAAACTGCTCAATCAAAACATAGGTTCAACACTGTGAGTTGAATGCATACATCGCAAAGAAGTTTCACAGAGTACTTCTGGGTGGTTTTTATTTGAAGATATTTCCCTTTCCACAATAGGCCTCAAAGCTTTCCAAATGTCCACTTGCAGATTCCACCAAAAGAGTGTTTCGAAACTGCTCAATCAAAAGAAAGGTTCTACTCTGTGGGATGAATGCACACATCACAAAGTAGTTTCTCAGAATGCTTCTGTGTAGTTTTTATGTGAAGATATTTGTTTTTCCACAGTAGGCCCCAAAGAGCTCCAAATATTCACTTGCAGATTCTACAAAAAGAGTGTTCCAAAACTGCTCAATCATGAAATAGGATCAACCCTGTGAGATGAATGTACGTATGACAGAGAAGTTTCTCAGAATGCTTCTGTGTAGTTTTTATGCGAAGATATTCGATTTTCCACAGTACGCCTCAAAGTTCTCCAATTATCCACTCGTAGATTCTGCAAAAAGAGAGATTCAAAACTGCTCAATCAAAAGATAGTTTCTACTCCATTAGCTGAAAGACCACATCACAAAAAAAGTTTCTCAGGATGCTTCTGTGTAGTTTTTATGTGAAGATATTTGGTTTTCCACAGTAGGCCTCAAAGCGCTCCAAATATCCACTCACAGATTCTGCAAAAAGAGAGATTCAAAACTGCTGAATCAAAAGACAGTTTCAACTCTGTGACTTCAGTGCACACCTCACAAGGATGTTTCTCAGAATGCTTCTGTGTAGTTTTCATATAAAGATATCTCCTTCTCCAAAATGGATCTCAAAGTTCTCCAAATATTCACTTCCAGATTCTATGGAAAGATTGTCTCAAAACTGCTCAATCAAACCAAAGGTTCAACTCTGTGAGATGAATGCCCACATCACAAAGAAGTTTCTCAGAGTACTTCTGTGTAGTTTCTATTTGAGGATAGTTCCTTTTCCACCACAGACCAGAAAGGGCTCCAAATATCCATTGCAGATGGTACAAAAAGTGAGATTCAAAACTGCTCAATCCAAAGGTAGTTTCAACCATGTGATATGAATGCACACAGCACAGAGAATTTTCTCAAAATGCGTCTGTCTAGTTTTTATTTGAAGGTATTTCCTTTTCCACCATAGGCCACAAACGTCTCCAAATAGCCACATGCAGCTTCTACAAAAAGAGAGATTCAAAACTGCTCAATCAAAAGATAGGTTCAACTCTGTGGTTGAATGCACACCTCACAAAGAAGTTTCTCAGAACGCTTCTGTGTGTTTTTATGTGAAGATATTTCCTTTTCCACAATAGGCCTCAAAGCTCTCCAAATATCCGCAAGCAGAGTCTACAAAAAGAGAGATTCAAAACTGCTCAATGAAAAGATAGGTTCAACTCTGTGAGTTGAATGCACATCTCACAAAGAAGTTTCTCAGAATGCCTCTGTGTAGTTTTTATGTGAAGATATTTACTTTTCCACAATTGTCCCAAAGCTCTAAAATATCCACTTGCAGACCCTCTAAAAGAGTGTTTCAGAGTTGCTCAATCAAAGGAAAGGATCAACTCTGTGTGACGAATGCACTCATCACAAAGAAGTTTGTCTGAATGCTTCTGTGTAGAATTGATTTCAAGATAATTTCTTTTCCACCACAGTCTACAAAGGACTAAAAATATCCACTTGTAGATTCTACAAAAAGGGAGATTCAAAACTGCTCAATCACAAGATAGGTTCAACTCGGTGATTAGGAAGCACACATGACAAACAATTTCTGAGAATGCTTCTGTGTAGTTTTTAAGGGAAGATATTTGATTTTCAAATGTAGGCCTCAAATCGCTCCAAATATCCACTTGCATATTGTACAAAAAGAGAGATTCAAAACTGGTCACTCAAAAGTTAGGTCCAGCTCTGTGAGCTGAATGCACACATCACAAAGATGTTTCTCAGAAAGTTCTGTATAGTTTTTATATGAAGATATTTGCTTTTCCACAATATGCCTCAAATCTCCCCAATTATCCACTTGCAGATTCTAGAAAAAGAGTGTTTCAAAACAGCTCAATCAAAATAAACTTTCAACTCTGTGAGATCAATGCACACATCACAAAGAAGTTTCTCAGAATGCTTTCTGTGTAGTTTTTATGTGAAGATATTTGGTTTTCCACAGTAGGCCTCAAAGCGCTCCAAATATCCACTCACAGATTCTGCAAAAAGAGAGATTCAAAACTGCTGAATCAAAAGACAGTTTCAACTACTGTGACTTCAGTGCACACCTCACAAGGATGTTTCTCAGAATGCTTCTATGTAGTTTTCATATGAAGATATCTCCATCTCCAAAATAGAACTCAAAGCCCTCCAAATATTCACTTCCAGATTCTATGGAAAGATTGTCTCAAAACTGCTCAGTCAAAACAAGGGTTCAACTCTGTGAGATGAATGCACACATCACAAAGAAATTTCTCAGAATACTTCTGTGTAGTTTCTATTTGAGGATAGTTCCTTTTCCACCACAGACCAGAAAGGGCTCCAAATATCCATTGCAGATGGTACAAAAAGTGAGATTCAAAACTGCTCAATCCAAAGGTAGTTTCAACCATGTGATATGAATGCACACAGCACAGAGAATTTTCTCAAAATGCGTCTGTCTAGTTTTTATTTGAAGATATTTCCTTTTCTACAATAGGCCACAAACGTCTCCAAATATCCACATGCAGCTTCTACAAAAAGAGAGATTCAAAACTTCTCAATCAAAAGATAGGTTCAACTCTGTGAGTTGAAAGCACACCTCACAAAGAAGTTTCTCAGAGTGCTTCTGTGTGTTTTTATGTGAAGATATTTCCTTTTCCACAATAGGCCTCAAAGCTCTCCAAATATCTGCGAGCAGAGTCTACAAAATGAGAGATTCAAAACTGCTCAATGAAAAGATAGGTTCAACTCTGTGAGTTGAATGCACACCTCCAAAGAAGTTTCTCAGAATGCTTCCGTGTAGTTTTTATGTGAAGATATTTACTTTTCCACAGTTGTCCCAAAGCTCTAAAATGTCCACTTGCAGACCCTCCAAAAGAGTGTTTCAGAATTGCTCAATCAAAGGGAAGGTTCAATTCTGTGTGACCAATGCACTCATCACAAAGAAGTTTGTCTGAATGCTTCTGTGTAGAATTGATTTGAAGATAATTCCTTTTCCACCACAGTCCGCAAAGGGCTAAAAATATCCACTTGCCGATTCCACAAAAAGAGAGATTCAAAACTGCTCAATCACAAGATAGGTTCAACTTGGTAATTGGAAAGCACACATGACAAACAATTTCTGAGAATGTTTCTGTGTAGTTTTTAAGGGAAGATATTTGATTTTCAAATGTAGGCCTCAAATCGCTCCAAATATCCACTTGCATATTGTACAAAAAGAGAGATTCAAAACTGGTCACTCAAAAGTTAGGTCCACTCTGTGAGCTGAATGCACACATCACAAAGATGTTTCTCAGAAGGTTTCTGTATAGTTTCTATATGAAGATATTGGCTTTTCCACAATATGCCTCAAATCTCCCCAATTATCCACTTGCAGATTCTAGAAAAAGAGTGTTTCAAAACAGCTCAATCAAAATAAACTTTCAACTCTGTGAGATCAATGCACACATCACAAAGAAGTTTCTCAGAATGCTTCTGTGTAGTTTTTTTTGTGAAGATATTTGATTTTCCACAGCAGGCTTCCAAGCACTCCAAATATCCACTCGCAGATTCTGCAAAAAGAGAGATTCAAATCTGCTGAATCAAAAGATAGGTTTAACTCTGTGACTTCAATGCACACCTCACAAGGGTGTTTCTCAGAAAGCTTCTGTGTAGTTTTTATATGAAGATATCTCCTTCTCCAAAGCAGGTCTCAAAGCCCTCCAAATATTCACTTCAAGATTCTACGGAAAGATTGTCTCAACACTGCTAAATCTAAACAAATGTTCAACTCTGTGTGATGAATGCACTCATCACAGAGAAGTTTCTCTGAATGCCTCTGTGTAGTTTTTATTTGAAGATATTTGCTTTTCCAGTATAGGGCGAAATAGGGCTCCAAATATTCACTTGCAGATTCTACAAAAGGAGAGATTCCAAACTGCTCAATCAAAACATAGGTTCAACACTGTGAGTTGAATGCACACATCACAAAGAAGTTTCACAGAGTGCTTCTGGGTAGTTTTTATTTGAGGATATTTCCCTTTCCACAATAGGCCTCAAAGCTTTCCAAATATCCACTTGCAGATTCTGCAAAAAGAGAGATACAAAACTGCTCTATCAAAAGATAGATTCGACTCTGTGAGTTGAATGCCAACATCGCAAAGAAGTTTCTCAGAATGCTTCTCTGCAGCTTTTTTGTGAGTATGTTTCGTTTTCCACCATAGGGCGAAATGGGGCTCCAAATATCCACTTGCATTTCCTACAAAAAGAGAGATTCTAAGCTGCTCAATCAAAACATTGTTTCAACACGGTTAGTTGAATGCACACATCCCAAAGATGTTTTTCAGAGTGCTTCTGTGTGGTTTTTATGTGAAGATACTTCCTTTTCCACAATAGGCCTCAAATCTCTGTAAATATCCACTTGCAGACTCTACAAAGAGTGTTTCCAAACTGCTCAATCATAAGATAGGTTCAACTCCGATAGTTGAATGCACACATCACAAAGAAGTTTCTCAGAAAGCTTCTGTGTAGTTTTTGATGAAGATATCTCCTTCTCTAAAACAGAACTCCAAGCCCTCCAAATATTCACTTCAAGATTCTACGGAAAGATTGTCTCAAAACTCCTAAATCAAAACAAAGTTTCAACTCTGTGTCATGAATGCATTCATCTCAAAGAAGTTTCTCTGAATGCTTCTGTGCAGTTTTTATTTGAAGATAATTGCTTTTCCAGTATAGGGCGAAATAGGGCTCCAAATATTCACTTGCAGATTCTACAGAAAGAGAGATTCCAAACTGCTCAATCAAAACATAGGTTCAACACTGTGAGTTGAATGCGTACATCGCAAAGAAGTTTCACAGAGTACTTTCTGGGTGGTTTTTATTTGAAGATATTTCCCTTTCCACAATAGGCCTCAAAGCTTTCCAAATGTCCACTTGCAGATTCCACCAAAAGAGTGTTTCGAAACTGCTCAATCAAAAGAAAGGTTCTACTCTGTGGGATGAATGCACACATCACAAAGTAGTTTCTCAGAATGCTTCTGTGTAGTTTTTATGTGAAGATATTTGTTTTTCCACAGTAGGCCCCAAAGAGCTCCAAATATTCACTTGCAGATTCTACAAAAAGAGTGTTCCAAAACTGCTCAATCATGAAATAGGATCAACCCTGTGAGATGAATGTACGTATGACAGAGAAGTTTCTCAGAATGCTTCTGTGTAGTTTTTATGCGAAGATATTCGATTTTCCACAGTACGCCTCAAAGTTCTCCAATTATCCACTCGTAGATTCTGCAAAAAGAGAGATTCAAAACTGCTCAATCAAAAGATAGTTTCTACTCCATTAGCTGAAAGACCACATCACAAAAAAAGTTTCTCAGGATGCTTCTGTGTAGTTTTTATGTGAAGATATTTGGTTTTCCACAGTAGGCCTCAAAGCGCTCCAAATATCCACTCACAGACTCTGCAAAAAGAGAGATTCAAAACTGCTGAATCAAAAGACAGTTTCAACTCTGTGACTTCAGTGCACACCTCACAAGGATGTTTCTCAGAATGCTTCTGTGTAGTTTTCATATAAAGATATCTCCTTCTCCAAAATGGATCTCAAAGTTCTCCAAATATTCACTTCCAGATTCTATGGAAAGATTGTCTCAAAACTGCTCAATCAAACCAAAGGTTCAACTCTGTGAGATGAATGCCCACATCACAAAGAAGTTTCTCAGAGTACTTCTGTGTAGTTTCTATTTGAGGATAGTTCCTTTTCCACCACAGACCAGAAAGGGCTCCAAATATCCATTGCAGATGGTACAAAAAGTGAGATTCAAAACTGCTCAATCCAAAGGTAGTTTCAACCATGTGATATGAATGCACACAGCACAGAGAATTTTCTCAAAATGCGTCTGTCTAGTTTTTATTTGAAGATATTTCCTTTTCTACCATAGGCCACAAACGTCTCCAAATATCCACATGCAGCTTCTACAAAAAGAGAGATTCAAAACTTCTCAATCAAAAGATAGGTTCAACTCTGTGAGTTGAAAGCACACCTCACAAAGAAGTTTCTCAGAGTGCTTCTGTGTGTTTTTATGTGAAGATATTTCCTTTTCCACAATAGGCCTCAAAGCTCTCCAAATATCTGCGAGCAGAGTCTACAAAATGAGAGATTCAAAACTGCTCAATGAAAAGATAGGTTCAACTCTGTGAGTTGAATGCACACCTCCAAAGAAGTTTCTCAGAATGCTTCCGTGTAGTTTTTATGTGAAGATATTTACTTTTCCACAGTTGTCCCAAAGCTCTAAAATATCCACTTGCAGACCCTCCAAAAGAGTGTTTCAGAATTGCTCAATCAAAGGGAAGGTTCAATTCTGTGTGACCAATGCACTCATCACAAAGAAGTTTGTCTGAATGCTTCTGTGTAGAATTGATTTGAAGATAATTCCTTTTCCACCACAGTCCGCAAAGGGCTAAAAATATCCACTTGCCGATTCCACAAAAAGAGAGATTCAAAACTGCTCAATCACAAGATAGGTTCAACTTGGTAATTGGAAAGCACACATGACAAACAATTTCTGAGAATGTTTCTGTGTAGTTTTTAAGGGAAGATATTTGATTTTCAAATGTAGGCCTCAAATCGCTCCAAATATCCACTTGCATATTGTACAAAAAGAGAGATTCAAAACTGGTCACTCAAAAGTTAGGTCCAGCTCTGTGAGCTGAATGCACACATCACAAAGATGTTTCTCAGAAGGTTTCTGTATAGTTTTTATATGAAGATATTTGCTTTTCCACAATATGCCTCAAATCTCCCCAATTATCCACTTGCAGATTCTAGAAAAAGAGTGTTTCAAAACAGCTCAATCAAAATAAACTTTCAACTCTGTGAGATCAATGCACACATCACAAAGGAGTTTCTCAGAATGCTTCTGTGTAGTTTTTTTTGTGAAGATATTTGATTTTCCACAGCAGGCTTCCAAGCACTCCAAATATCCACTCGCAGATTCTGCAAAAAGAGAGATTCAAATCTGCTGAATCAAAAGATAGGTTTAACTCTGTGACTTCAATGCACACCTCACAAGGGTGTTTCTCAGAAAGCTTCTGTGTAGTTTTTATATGAAGATATCTCCTTCTCCAAAGCAGGTCTCAAAGCCCTCCAAATATTCACTTCAAGATTCTACGGAAAGATTGTCTCAACACTGCTAAATCTAAACAAATGTTCAACTCTGTGTGATGAATGCACTCATCACAGAGAAGTTTCTCTGAATGCCTCTGTGTAGTTTTTATTTGAAGATATTTGCTTTTCCAGTATAGGGCGAAATAGGGCTCCAAATATTCACTTGCAGATTCTACAAAAGGAGAGATTCCAAACTGCTCAATCAAAACATAGGTTCAACACTGTGAGTTGAATGCACACATCACAAAGAAGTTTCACAGAGTGCTTCTGGGTAGTTTTTATTTGAGGATATTTCCCTTTCCACAATAGGCCTCAAAGCTTTCCAAATATCCACTTGCAGATTCTGCAAAAAGAGAGATACAAAACTGCTCTATCAAAAGATAGATTCGACTCTGTGAGTTGAATGCCAACATCGCAAAGAAGTTTCTCAGAATGCTTCTCTGCAGCTTTTTTGTGAGTATGTTTCGTTTTCCACCATAGGGCGAAATGGGGCTCCAAATATCCACTTGCATTTCCTACAAAAAGAGAGATTCTAAGCTGCTCAATCAAAACATTGTTTCAACACGGTTAGTTGAATGCACACATCCCAAAGATGTTTTTCAGAGTGCTTCTGTGTGGTTTTTATGTGAAGATACTTCCTTCTCCACAATAGGCCTCAAATCTCTGTAAATATCCACTTGCAGACTCTACAAAGAGTGTTTCCAAACTCCTCAATCATAAGATAGGTTCAACTCCGATAGTTGAATGCACACATCACAAAGAAGTTTCTCGGAAAGCTACTGTGTAGTTTTTGATGAAGATATCTTCTTCTCTAAAACAGAACTCCAAGCCCTCCAAATATTCACTTCAAGATTCTACGGAAAGATTGTCTCAAACTGCTAAATCAAAACAAAGGTTCAACTCTGTGTGATGAATGCATTCATCACAAAGAAGTTTCTCTGAGTGCTTCTGTGCAGTTTTTATTTGAAGATAATTGCTTTTCCAGTATAGGGCGAAATAGGGCTCCAAATATTCACTTGCAGATTCTACAGAAAGAGAGATTCCAAACTGCTCAATCAAAACATAGGTTCAACACTGTGAGTTGAATGCATACATCGCAAAGAAGTTTCACAGAGTACTTCTGGGTGGTTTTTATTTGAAGATATTTCCCTTTCCACAATAGGCCTCAAAGCTTTCCAAATGTCCACTTGCAGATTCCACCAAAAGAGTGTTTCGAAACTGCTCAATCAAAAGAAAGGTTCTACTCTGTGGGATGAATGCACACATCACAAAGTAGTTTCTCAGAATGCTTCTGTGTAGTTTTTATGTGAAGATATTTGTTTTTCCACAGTAGGCCCCAAAGAGCTCCAAATATTCACTTGCAGATTCTACAAAAAGAGTGTTCCAAAACTGCTCCATCATGAAATAGGATCAACCCTGTGAGATGAATGTACGTATGACAGAGAAGTTTCTCAGAATGCTTCTGTGTAGTTTTTATGCGAAGATATTCGATTTTCCACAGTACGCCTCAAAGTTCTCCAATTATCCACTCGTAGATTCTGCAAAAAGAGAGATTCAAAACTGCTCAATCAAAAGATAGTTTCTACTCCATTAGCTGAAAGACCACATCACAAAAAAAGTTTCTCAGGATGCTTCTGTGTAGTTTTTATGTGAAGATATTTGGTTTTCCACAGTAGGCCTCAAAGCGCTCCAAATATCCACTCACAGATTCTGCAAAAAGAGAGATTCAAAACTGCTGAATCAAAAGACAGTTTCAACTCTGTGACTTCAGTGCACACCTCACAAGGATGTTTCTCAGAATGCTTCTGTGTAGTTTTTATATAAAGATATCTCCTTCTCCAAAATGGATCTCAAAGTTCTCCAAATATTCACTTCCAGATTCTATGGAAAGATTGTCTCAAAACTGCTCAATCAAACCAAAGGTTCAACTCTGTGAGATGAATGCCCACATCACAAAGAAGTTTCTCAGAGTACTTCTGTGTAGTTTCTATTTGAGGATAGTTCCTTTTCCACCACAGACCAGAAAGGGCTCCAAATATCCATTGCAGATGGTACAAAAAGTGAGATTCAAAACTGCTCAATCCAAAGGTAGTTTCAACCATGTGATATGAATGCACACAGCACAGAGAATTTTCTCAAAATGCGTCTGTCTAGTTTTTATTTGAAGATATTTCCTTTTCTACCATAGGCCACAAACGTCTCCAAATATCCACATGCAGCTTCTACAAAAAGAGAGATTCAAAACTTCTCAATCAAAAGATAGGTTCAACTCTGTGAGTTGAAAGCACACCTCACAGAGAAGTTTCTCAGAGTGCTTCTGTGTGTTTTTATGTGAAGATATTTCCTTTTCCACAATAGGCCTCAAAGCTCTCCAAATATCTGCGAGCAGAGTCTACAAAA
Organism: Homo sapiens; assembly: GCF_000001405.40. Lineage (NCBI taxonomy): Eukaryota > Metazoa > Chordata > Mammalia > Primates > Hominidae > Homo > Homo sapiens. The sequence continues at coordinate 18,329,513 of NC_000015.10, read as the reverse complement.
TGAGAGATTCAAAACTGCTCAATGAAAAGATAGGTTCAACTCTGTGAGTTGAATGCACACCTCCAAAGAAGTTTCTCAGAATGCTTCCGTGTAGTTTTTATGTGAAGATATTTACTTTTCCACAGTTGTCCCAAAGCTCTAAAATGTCCACTTGCAGACCCTCCAAAAGAGTGTTTCAGAATTGCTCAATCAAAGGGAAGGTTCAATTCTGTGTGACCAATGCACTCATCACAAAGAAGTTTGTCTGAATGCTTCTGTGTAGAATTGATTTGAAGATAATTCCTTTTCCACCACAGTCCGCAAAGGGCTAAAAATATCCACTTGCCGATTCCACAAAAAGAGAGATTCAAAACTGCTCAATCACAAGATAGGTTCAACTTGGTAATTGGAAAGCACACATGACAAACAATTTCTGAGAATGTTTCTGTGTAGTTTTTAAGGGAAGATATTTGATTTTCAAATGTAGGCCTCAAATCGCTCCAAATATCCACTTGCATATTGTACAAAAAGAGAGATTCAAAACTGGTCACTCAAAAGTTAGGTCCAGCTCTGTGAGCTGAATGCACACATCACAAAGATGTTTCTCAGAAGGTTTCTGTATAGTTTCTATATGAAGATATTTGCTTTTCCACAATATGCCTCAAATCTCCCCAATTATCCACTTGCAGATTCTAGAAAAAGAGTGTTTCAAAACAGCTCAATCAAAATAAACTTTCAACTCTGTGAGATCAATGCACACATCACAAAGAAGTTTCTCAGAATGCTTCTGTGTAGTTTTTTTTGTGAAGATATTTGATTTTCCACAGCAGGCTTCCAAGCACTCCAAATATCCACTCGCAGATTCTGCAAAAAGAGAGATTCAAATCTGCTGAATCAAAAGATAGGTTTAACTCTGTGACTTCAATGCACACCTCACAAGGGTGTTTCTCAGAAAGCTTCTGTGTAGTTTTTATATGAAGATATCTCCTTCTCCAAAGCAGGTCTCAAAGCCCTCCAAATATTCACTTCAAGATTCTACGGAAAGATTGTCTCAACACTGCTAAATCTAAACAAATGTTCAACTCTGTGTGATGAATGCACTCATCACAGAGAAGTTTCTCTGAATGCCTCTGTGTAGTTTTTATTTGAAGATATTTGCTTTTCCAGTATAGGGCGAAATAGGGCTCCAAATATTCACTTGCAGATTCTACAAAAGGAGAGATTCCAAACTGCTCAATCAAAACATAGGTTCAACACTGTGAGTTGAATGCACACATCACAAAGAAGTTTCACAGAGTGCTTCTGGGTAGTTTTTATTTGAGGATATTTCCCTTTCCACAATAGGCCTCAAAGCTTTCCAAATATCCACTTGCAGATTCTGCAAAAAGAGAGATACAAAACTGCTCTATCAAAAGATAGATTCGACTCTGTGAGTTGAATGCCAACATCGCAAAGAAGTTTCTCAGAATGCTTCTCTGCAGCTTTTTTGTGAGTATGTTTCGTTTTCCACCATAGGGCGAAATGGGGCTCCAAATATCCACTTGCATTTCCTACAAAAAGAGAGATTCTAAGCTGCTCAATCAAAACATTGTTTCAACACGGTTAGTTGAATGCACACATCCCAAAGATGTTTTTCAGAGTGCTTCTGTGTGGTTTTTATGTGAAGATACTTCCTTTTCCACAATAGGCCTCAAATCTCTGTAAATATCCACTTGCAGACTCTACAAAGAGTGTTTCCAAACTGCTCAATCATAAGATAGGTTCAACTCCGATAGTTGAATGCACACATCACAAAGAAGTTTCTCAGAAAGCTTCTGTGTAGTTTTTGATGAAGATATCTTCTTCTCTAAAACAGAACTCCAAGCCCTCCAAATATTCACTTCAAGATTCTACGGAAAGATTGTCTCAAAACTCCTAAATCAAAACAAAGTTTCAACTCTGTGTCATGAATGCATTCATCTCAAAGAAGTTTCTCTGAATGCTTCTGTGCAGTTTTTATTTGAAGATAATTGCTTTTCCAGTATAGGGCGAAATAGGGCTCCAAATATTCACTTGCAGATTCTACAGAAAGAGAGATTCCAAACTGTTCAATCAAAACATAGGTTCAACACTGTGAGTTGAATGCATACATCGCAAAGAAGTTTCACAGAGTACTTCTGGGTGGTTTTTATTTGAAGATATTTCCCTTTCCACAATAGGCCTCAAAGCTTTCCAAATGTCCACTTGCAGATTCCACCAAAAGAGTGTTTCGAAACTGCTCAATCAAAAGAAAGGTTCTACTCTGTGGGATGAATGCACACATCACAAAGTAGTTTCTCAGAATGCTTCTGTGTAGTTTTTATGTGAAGATATTTGTTTTTCCACAGTAGGCCCCAAGGAGCTCCAAATATTCACTTGCAGATTCTACAAAAAGAGTGTTCCAAAACTGCTCAATCATGAAATAGGATCAACCCTGTGAGATGAATGTACGTATGACAGAGAAGTTTCTCAGAATGCTTCTGTGTAGTTTTTATGCGAAGATATTCGATTTTCCACAGTACGCCTCAAAGTTCTCCAATTATCCACTCGTAGATTCTGCAAAAAGAGAGATTCAAAACTGCTCAATCAAAAGATAGTTTCTACTCCATTAGCTGAAAGACCACATCACAAAAAAAGTTTCTCAGGATGCTTCTGTGTAGTTTTTATGTGAACATATTTGGTTTTCCACAGTAGGCCTCAAAGCGCTCCAAATATCCGCTCACAGACTCTGCAAAAAGAGAGATTCAAAACTGCTGAATCAAAAGACAGTTTCAACTCTGTGACTTCAGTGCACACCTCACAAGGATGTTTCTCAGAATGCTTCTGTGTAGTTTTTATATAAAGATATCTCCTTCTCCAAAATGGATCTCAAAGTTCTCCAAATATTCACTTCCAGATTCTATGGAAAGATTGTCTCAAAACTGCTCAATCAAACCAAAGGTTCAACTCTGTGAGATGAATGCCCACATCACAAAGAAGTTTCTCAGAGTACTTCTGTGTAGTTTCTATTTGAGGATAGTTCCTTTTCCACCACAGACCAGAAAGGGCTCCAAATATCCATTGCAGATGGTACAAAAAGTGAGATTCAAAACTGCTCAATCCAAAGGTAGTTTCAACCATGTGATATGAATGCACACAGCACAGAGAATTTTCCCAAAATGCGTCTGTCTAGTTTTTATTTGAAGATATTTCCTTTTCTACCATAGGCCACAAACGTCTCCAAATATCCACATGCAGCTTCTACAAAAAGAGAGATTCAAAACTTCTCAATCAAAAGATAGGTTCAACTCTGTGAGTTGAAAGCACACCTCACAAAGAAGTTTCTCAGAGTGCTTCTGTGTGTTTTTATGTGAAGATATTTCCTTTTCCACAATAGGCCTCAAAGCTCTCCAAATATCTGCGAGCAGAGTCTACAAAATGAGAGATTCAAAACTGCTCAATGAAAAGATAGGTTCAACTCTGTGAGTTGAATGCACACCTCCAAAGAAGTTTCTCAGAATGCTTCCGTGTAGTTTTTATGTGAAGATATTTACTTTTCCACAGTTGTCCCAAAGCTCTAAAATATCCACTTGCAGACCCTCCAAAAGAGTGTTTCAGAATTGCTCAATCAAAGGGAAGGTTCAATTCTGTGTGACCAATGCACTCATCACAAAGAAGTTTGTCTGAATGCTTCTGTGTAGAATTGATTTGAAGATAATTCCTTTTCCACCACAGTCCGCAAAGGGCTAAAAATATCCACTTGCCGATTCCACAAAAAGAGAGATTCAAAACTGCTCAATCACAAGATAGGTTCAACTTGGTAATTGGAAAGCACACATGACAAACAATTTCTGAGAATGTTTCTGTGTAGTTTTTAAGGGAAGATATTTGATTTTCAAATGTAGGCCTCAAATCGCTCCAAATATCCACTTGCATATTGTACAAAAAGAGAGATTCAAAACTGGTCACTCAAAAGTTAGGTCCAGCTCTGTGAGCTGAATGCACACATCACAAAGATGTTTCTCAGAAGGTTTCTGTATAGTTTCTATATGAAGATATTGGCTTTTCCACAATATGCCTCAAATCTCCCCAATTATCCACTTGCAGATTCTAGAAAAAGAGTGTTTCAAAACAGCTCAATCAAAATAAACTTTCAACTCTGTGAGATCAATGCACACATCACAAAGGAGTTTCTCAGAATGCTTCTGTGTAGTTTTTTTTGTGAAGATATTTGATTTTCCACAGCAGGCTTCCAAGCACTCCAAATATCCACTCGCAGATTCTGCAAAAAGAGAGATTCAAATCTGCTGAATCAAAAGATAGGTTTAACTCTGTGACTTCAATGCACACCTCACAAGGGTGTTTCTCAGAAAGCTTCTGTGTAGTTTTTATATGAAGATATCTCCTTCTCCAAAGCAGGTCTCAAAGCCCTCCAAATATTCACTTCAAGATTCTACGGAAAGATTGTCTCAACACTGCTAAATCTAAACAAATGTTCAACTCTGTGTGATGAATGCACTCATCACAGAGAAGTTTCTCTGAATGCCTCTGTGTAGTTTTTATTTGAAGATATTTGCTTTTCCAGTATAGGGCGAAATAGGGCTCCAAATATTCACTTGCAGATTCTACAAAAGGAGAGATTCCAAACTGCTCAATCAAAACATAGGTTCAACACTGTGAGTTGAATGCACACATCACAAAGAAGTTTCACAGAGTGCTTCTGGGTAGTTTTTATTTGAGGATATTTCCCTTTCCACAATAGGCCTCAAAGCTTTCCAAATATCCACTTGCAGATTCTGCAAAAAGAGAGATACAAAACTGCTCTATCAAAAGATAGATTCGACTCTGTGAGTTGAATGCCAACATCGCAAAGAAGTTTCTCAGAATGCTTCTCTGCAGCTTTTTTGTGAGTATGTTTCGTTTTCCACCATAGGGCGAAATGGGGCTCCAAATATCCACTTGCATTTCCTACAAAAAGAGAGATTCTAAGCTGCTCAATCAAAACATTGTTTCAACACGGTTAGTTGAATGCACACATCCCAAAGATGTTTTTCAGAGTGCTTCTGTGTGGTTTTTATGTGAAGATACTTCCTTTTCCACAATAGGCCTCAAATCTCTGTAAATATCCACTTGCAGACTCTACAAAGAGTGTTTCCAAACTGCTCAATCATAAGATAGGTTCAACTCCGATAGTTGAATGCACACATCACAAAGAAGTTTCTCAGAAAGCTTCTGTGTAGTTTTTGATGAAGATATCTCCTTCTCTAAAACAGAACTCCAAGCCCTCCAAATATTCACTTCAAGATTCTACGGAAAGATTGTCTCAAAACTCCTAAATCAAAACAAAGTTTCAACTCTGTGTCATGAATGCATTCATTTCAAAGAACTTTCTCTGAATGCTTCTGTGCAGTTTTTATTTGAAGATAATTGCTTTTCCAGTATAGGGCGAAATAGGGCTCCAAATATTCACTTGCAGATTCTACAGAAAGAGAGATTCCAAACTGCTCAATCAAAACATAGGTTCAACACTGTGAGTTGAATGCATACATCGCAAAGAAGTTTCACAGAGTACTTCTGGGTGGTTTTTATTTGAAGATATTTCCCTTTCCACAATAGGCCTCAAAGCTTTCCAAATGTCCACTTGCAGATTCCACCAAAAGCGTGTTTTGAAACTGCTCAATCAAAAGAAAGGTTCTACTCTGTGGGATGAATGCACACATCACAAAGTAGTTTCTCAGAATGCTTTCTGTGTAGTTTTTATGTGAAGATATTGGTTTTTCCACAGTAGGCCCCAATGAGCTCCAAATATTCACTTGCAGATTCTACAAAAAGAGTGTTTCAAAAGTGCTCAATAATAAAATAGGATCAACCCTGTGAGATGAATGTACGTATGACAAAGAAGTTTCTCAGAATGCTTCTGTGCAGTTTTTATGGGAAGATATTTGATTTTCCACAGTAGACCTCAAAGTTCTCCAAATATCCACTTGCAGATTCTGCAAAAAGAGAGATTCAAAACTGCTCAATCGAAAGATAGGTTCAACTCTATTAGTTGAAAGACCACATCACAAAGAAGTTTCTCAGAATGCTTCTGTGTAGTTTTTATGTGAAGATATTTGGTTTTCCACAGTAGGCCACAAAGCGCTCCAAATATTCACTCACAGATTCTGCAAAAAGAGAGATTCAAAACTGCTGAATCAAAAGGTAGTTTTAACTCTGTGACTTCAGTGCACACCTCACAAAGATGTTTCTCAGAATGCTTCTGTATAGTTTTTATATGAAGATATCTCCTTCTCCAAAATAGATCTCAAAGCCCTCCAAATATTCACTTCCAGATCCTATGGAAAGATGGTCTCAAAACTGCTCAAGCAAAACAAAGGTTCAACTCTGTGAGATGAATGCACACATCACGAAGAAGTTTCTCAGAATACTTCTGTGTAGTTTTTATTTGAGGATAGTTCCTTTTCCACCATAGACCACAAAGGGCTCCAAATATCCACTTGCAGATGGTACAAAAAGAGAGATTCAAAACTGCTCAATCAAAAGATAGGTTCAACTCTGTGGTTGAATGCACACCTCACAAAGAAGTTTCTCAGAATGCTTCTGTCTAGTTTTTATTTGAAGGTATTTCCTTTTCCACCATAGGCCACAAACGTCTCCAAATAGCCACATGCAGCTTCTACAAAAAGAGAGATTCAAAACTGCTCAATCAAAAGATAGGTTCAACTCTGTGGTTGAATGCACACCTCACAAAGAAGTTTCTCAGAACGCTTCTGTGTGTTTTTATGTGAAGATATTTCCTTTTCCACAATAGGCCTCAAAGCTCTCCAAATATCTGCGAGCAGAGTCTACAAAATGAGAGATTCAAAACTGCTCAATGAAAAGATAGGTTCAACTCTGTGAGTTGAATGCACACCTCCAAAGAAGTTTCTCAGAATGCTTCCGTGTAGTTTTTATGTGAAGATATTTACTTTTCCACAGTTGTCCCAAAGCTCTAAAATGTCCACTTGCAGACCCTCCAAAAGAGTGTTTCAGAATTGCTCAATCAAAGGGAAGGTTCAATTCTGTGTGACCAATGCACTCATCACAAAGAAGTTTGTCTGAATGCTTCTGTGTAGAATTGATTTGAAGATAATTCCTTTTCCACCACAGTCCGCAAAGGGCTAAAAATATCCACTTGCCGATTCCACAAAAAGAGAGATTCAAAACTGCTCAATCACAAGATAGGTTCAACTTGGTAATTGGAAAGCACACATGACAAACAATTTCTGAGAATGTTTCTGTGTAGTTTTTAAGGGAAGATATTTGATTTTCAAATGTAGGCCTCAAATCGCTCCAAATATCCACTTGCATATTGTACAAAAAGAGAGATTCAAAACTGGTCACTCAAAAGTTAGGTCCAGCTCTGTGAGCTGAATGCACACATCACAAAGATGTTTCTCAGAAGGTTTCTGTATAGTTTCTATATGAAGATATTTGCTTTTCCACAATATGCCTCAAATCTCCCCAATTATCCACTTGCAGATTCTAGAAAAAGAGTGTTTCAAAACAGCTCAATCAAAATAAACTTTCAACTCTGTGAGATCAATGCACACATCACAAAGAAGTTTCTCAGAATGCTTCTGTGTAGTTTTTTTTGTGAAGATATTTGATTTTCCACAGCAGGCTTCCAAGCACTCCAAATATCCACTCGCAGATTCTGCAAAAAGAGAGATTCAAATCTGCTGAATCAAAAGATAGGTTTAACTCTGTGACTTCAATGCACACCTCACAAGGGTGTTTCTCAGAAAGCTTCTGTGTAGTTTTTATATGAAGATATCTCCTTCTCCAAAGCAGGTCTCAAAGCCCTCCAAATATTCACTTCAAGATTCTACGGAAAGATTGTCTCAACACTGCTAAATCTAAACAAATGTTCAACTCTGTGTGATGAATGCACTCATCACAGAGAAGTTTCTCTGAATGCCTCTGTGTAGTTTTTATTTGAAGATATTTGCTTTTCCAGTATAGGGCGAAATAGGGCTCCAAATATTCACTTGCAGATTCTACAAAAGGAGAGATTCCAAACTGCTCAATCAAAACATAGGTTCAACACTGTGAGTTGAATGCACACATCACAAAGAAGTTTCACAGAGTGCTTCTGGGTAGTTTTTATTTGAGGATATTTCCCTTTCCACAATAGGCCTCAAAGCTTTCCAAATATCCACTTGCAGATTCTGCAAAAAGAGAGATACAAAACTGCTCTATCAAAAGATAGATTCGACTCTGTGAGTTGAATGCCAACATCGCAAAGAAGTTTCTCAGAATGCTTCTCTGCAGCTTTTTTGTGAGTATGTTTCGTTTTCCACCATAGGGCGAAATGGGGCTCCAAATATCCACTTGCATTTCCTACAAAAAGAGAGATTCTAAGCTGCTCAATCAAAACATTGTTTCAACACGGTTAGTTGAATGCACACATCCCAAAGATGTTTTTCAGAGTGCTTCTGTGTGGTTTTTATGTGAAGATACTTCCTTTTCCACAATAGGCCTCAAATCTCTTTAAATATCCACTTGCAGACTCTACAAAGAGTGTTTCCAAACTGCTCAATCATAAGATAGGTTCAACTCCGATAGTTGAATGCACACATCACAAAGAAGTTTCTCGGAAAGCTTCTGTGTAGTTTTTGATGAAGATATCTTCTTCTCTAAAACAGAACTCCAAGCCCTCCAAATATTCACTTCAAGATTCTACGGAAAGATTGTCTCAAACTGCTAAATCAAAACAAAGGTTCAACTCTGTGTGATGAATGCATTCATCACAAAGAAGTTTCTCTGAGTGCTTCTGTGCAGTTTTTATTTGAAGATAATTGCTTTTCCAGTATAGGGCGAAATAGGGCTCCAAATATTCACTTGCAGATTCTACAGAAAGAGAGATTCCAAACTGCTCAATCAAAACATAGGTTCAACACTGTGAGTTGAATGCATACATCGCAAAGAAGTTGCACAGAGTACTTCTGGGTGGTTTTTATTTGAAGATATTTCCCTTTCCACAATAGGCCTCAAAGCTTTCCAAATGTCCACTTGCAGATTCCACCAAAAGAGTGTTTCGAAACTGCTCAATCAAAAGAAAGGTTCTACTCTGTGGGATGAATGCACACATCACAAAGTAGTTTCTCAGAATGCTTCTGTGTAGTTTTTATGTGAAGATATTTGTTTTTCCACAGTAGGCCCCAAAGAGCTCCAAATATTCACTTGCAGATTCTACAAAAAGAGTGTTCCAAAACTGCTCAATCATGAAATAGGATCAACCCTGTGAGATGAATGTACGTATGACAGAGAAGTTTCTCAGAATGCTTCTGTGTAGTTTTTATGCGAAGATATTCGATTTTCCACAGTACGCCTCAAAGTTCTCCAATTATCCACTCGTAGATCCTGCAAAAAGAGAGATTCAAAACTGCTCAATCAAAAGATAGTTTCTACTCCATTAGCTGAAAGACCACATCACAAAAAAAGTTTCTCAGGATGCTTCTGTGTAGTTTTTATGTGAACATATTTGGTTTTCCACAGTAGGCCTCAAAGCGCTCCAAATATCCGCTCACAGACTCTGCAAAAAGAGAGATTCAAAACTGCTGAATCAAAAGACAGTTTCAACTCTGTGACTTCAGTGCACACCTCACAAGGATGTTTCTCAGAATGCTTCTGTGTAGTTTTTATATAAAGATATCTCCTTCTCCAAAATGGATCTCAAAGTTCTCCAAATATTCACTTCCAGATTCTATGGAAAGATTGTCTCAAAACTGCTCAATCAAACCAAAGGTTCAACTCTGTGAGATGAATGCCCACATCACAAAGAAGTTTCTCAGAGTACTTCTGTGTAGTTTCTATTTGAGGATAGTTCCTTTTCCACCACAGACCAGAAAGGGCTCCAAATATCCATTGCAGATGGTACAAAAAGTGAGATTCAAAACTGCTCAATCCAAAGGTAGTTTCAACCATGTGATATGAATGCACACAGCACAGAGAATTTTCTCAAAATGCGTCTGTCTAGTTTTTATTTGAAGATATTTCCTTTTCTACCATAGGCCACAAACGTCTCCAAATATCCACATGCAGCTTCTACAAAAAGAGAGATTCAAAAGTTCTCAATCAAAAGATAGGTTCAACTCTGTGAGTTGAAAGCACACCTCACAGAGAAGTTTCTCAGAGTGCTTCTGTGTGTTTTTATGTGAAGATATTTCCTTTTCCACAATAGGCCTCAAAGCTCTCCAAATATCTGCGAGCAGAGTCTACAAAATGAGAGATTCAAAACTGCTCAATGAAAAGATAGGTTCAACTCTGTGAGTTGAATGCACACCTCCAAAGAAGTTTCTCAGAATGCTTTCCGTGTAGTTTTTATGTGAAGATATTTACTTTTCCACAGTTGTCCCAAAGCTCTAAAATATCCACTTGCAGACCCTCCAAAAGAGTGTTTCAGAATTGCTCAATCAAAGGGAAGGTTCAATTCTGTGTGACCAATGCACTCATCACAAAGAAGTTTGTCTGAATGCTTCTGTGTAGAATTGATTTGAAGATAATTCCTTTTCCACCACAGTCCGCAAAGGGCTAAAAATATCCACTTGCCGATTCCACAAAAAGAGAGATTCAAAACTGCTCAATCACAAGATAGGTTCAACTTGGTAATTGGAAAGCACACATGACAAACAATTTCTGAGAATGTTTCTGTGTAGTTTTTAAGGGAAGATATTTGATTTTCAAATGTAGGCCTCAAATCGCTCCAAATATCCACTTGCATATTGTACAAAAAGAGAGATTCAAAACTGGTCACTCAAAAGTTAGGTCCAGCTCTGTGAGCTGAATGCACACATCACAAAGATGTTTCTCAGAAGGTTTCTGTATAGTTTTTATATGAAGATATTTGCTTTTCCACAATATGCCTCAAATCTCCCCAATTATCCACTTGCAGATTCTAGAAAAAGAGTGTTTCAAAACAGCTCAATCAAAATAAACTTTCAACTCTGTGAGATCAATGCACACATCACAAAGGAGTTTCTCAGAATGCTTCTGTGTAGTTTTTTTTGTGAAGATATTTGATTTTCCACAGCAGGCTTCCAAGCACTCCAAATATCCACTCGCAGATTCTGCAAAAAGAGAGATTCAAATCTGCTGAATCAAAAGATAGGTTTAACTCTGTGACTTCAATGCACACCTCACAAGGGTGTTTCTCAGAAAGCTTCTGTGTAGTTTTTATATGAAGATATCTCCTTCTCCAAAGCAGGTCTCAAAGCCCTCCAAATATTCACTTCAAGATTCTACGGAAAGATTGTCTCAACACTGCTAAATCTAAACAAATGTTCAACTCTGTGTGATGAATGCACTCATCACAGAGAAGTTTCTCTGAATGCCTCTGTGTAGTTTTTATTTGAAGATATTTGCTTTTCCAGTATAGGGCGAAATAGGGCTCCAAATATTCACTTGCAGATTCTACAAAAGGAGAGATTCCAAACTGCTCAATCAAAACATAGGTTCAACACTGTGAGTTGAATGCACACATCACAAAGAAGTTTCACAGAGTGCTTCTGGGTAGTTTTTATTTGAGGATATTTCCCTTTCCACAATAGGCCTCAAAGCTTTCCAAATATCCACTTGCAGATTCTGCAAAAAGAGAGATACAAAACTGCTCTATCAAAAGATAGATTCGACTCTGTGAGTTGAATGCCAACATCGCAAAGAAGTTTCTCAGAATGCTTCTCTGCAGCTTTTTTGTGAGTATGTTTCGTTTTCCACCATAGGGCGAAATGGGGCTCCAAATATCCACTTGCATTTCCTACAAAAAGAGAGATTCTAAGCTGCTCAATCAAAACATTGTTTCAACACGGTTAGTTGAATGCACACATCCCAAAGATGTTTTTCAGAGTGCTTCTGTGTGGTTTTTATGTGAAGATACTTCCTTTTCCACAATAGGCCTCAAATCTCTGTAAATATCCACTTGCAGACTCTACAAAGAGTGTTTCCAAACTGCTCAATCATAAGATAGGTTCAACTCCGATAGTTGAATGCACACATCACAAAGAAGTTTCTCAGAAAGCTTCTGTGTAGTTTTTGATGAAGATATCTCCTTCTCTAAAACAGAACTCCAAGCCCTCCAAATATTCACTTCAAGATTCTACGGAAAGATTGTCTCAAAACTCCTAAATCAAAACAAAGTTTCAACTCTGTGTCATGAATGCATTCATGTCAAAGAAGTTTCTCTGAATGCTTCTGTGCAGTTTTTATTTGAAGATAATTGCTTTTCCAGTATAGGGCGAAATAGGGCTCCAAATATTCACTTGCAGATTCTACAGAAAGAGAGATTCCAAACTGCTCAATCAAAACTTAGGTTCAACACTGTGAGTTGAATGCATACATCGCAAAGAAGTTTCACAGAGTACTTCTGGGTGGTTTTTATTTGAAGATATTTCCCTTTCCACAATAGGCCTCAAAGCTTTCCAAATGTCCACTTGCAGATTCCACCAAAAGAGTGTTTCGAAACTGCTCAATCAAAAGTAAGTTTCTACTCTGTGGGATGAATGCACACATCACAAAGTAGTTTCTCAGAATGCTTCTGTGTAGTTTTTATGTGAAGATATTTGTTTTTCCACAGTAGGCCCCAAAGAGCTCCAAATATTCACTTGCAGATTCTACAAAAAGAGTGTTCCAAAACTGCTCAATCATGAAATAGGATCAACCCTGTGAGATGAATGTACGTATGACAGAGAAGTTTCTCAGAATGCTTCTGTGTAGTTTTTATGCGAAGATATTCGATTTTCCACAGTACGCCTCAAAGTTCTCCAATTATCCACTCGTAGATTCTGCAAAAAGAGAGATTCAAAACTGCTCAATCAAAAGATAGTTTCTACTCCATTAGCTGAAAGACCACATCACAAAAAAAGTTTCTCAGGATGCTTCTGTGTAGTTTTTATGTGAACATATTTGGTTTTCCACAGTAGGCCTCAAAGCGCTCCAAATATCCACTCACAGATTCTGCAAAAAGAGAGATTCAAAACTGCTGAATCAAAAGACAGTTTCAACTCTGTGACTTCAGTGCACACCTCACAAGGATGTTTCTCAGAATGCTTCTGTGTAGTTTTCATATAAAGATATCTCCTTCTCCAAAATGGATCTCAAAGTTCTCCAAATATTCACTTCCAGATTCTATGGAAAGATTGTCTCAAAACTGCTCAATCAAACCAAAGGTTCAACTCTGTGAGATGAATGCCCACATCACAAAGAAGTTTCTCAGAGTACTTCTGTGTAGTTTCTATTTGAGGATAGTTCCTTTTCCACCACAGACCAGAAAGGGCTCCAAATATCCATTGCAGATGGTACAAAATGTGAGATTCAAAACTGCTCAATCCAAAGGTAGTTTCAACCATGTGATATGAATGCACACAGCACAGAGAATTTTCTCAAAATGCGTCTGTCTAGTTTTTATTTGAAGATATTTCCTTTTCTACCATAGGCCACAAACGTCTCCAAATATCCACATGCAGCTTCTACAAAAAGAGAGATTCAAAACTTCTCAATCAAAAGATAGGTTCAACTCTGTGAGTTGAAAGCACACCTCACAAAGAAGTTTCTCAGAGTGCTTCTGTGTGTTTTTATGTGAAGATATTTCCTTTTCCACAATAGGCCTCAAAGCTCTCCAAATATCTGCGAGCAGAGTCTACAAAATGAGAGATTCAAAACTGCTCAATGAAAAGATAGGTTCAACTCTGTGAGTTGAATGCACACCTCCAAAGAAGTTTCTCAGAATGCTTCCGTGTAGTTTTTATGTGAAGATATTTACTTTTCCACAGTTGTCCCAAAGCTCTAAAATGTCCACTTGCAGACCCTCCAAAAGAGTGTTTCAGAATTGCTCAATCAAAGGGAAGGTTCAATTCTGTGTGACCAATGCACTCATCACAAAGAAGTTTGTCTGAATGCTTCTGTGTAGAATTGATTTGAAGATAATTCCTTTTCCACCACAGTCCGCAAAGGGCTAAAAATATCCACTTGCCGATTCCACAAAAAGAGAGATTCAAAACTGCTCAATCACAAGATAGGTTCAACTTGGTAATTGGAAAGCACACATGACAAACAATTTCTGAGAATGTTTCTGTGTAGTTTTTAAGGGAAGATATTTGATTTTCAAATGTAGGCCTCAAATCGCTCCAAATATCCACTTGCATATTGTACAAAAAGAGAGATTCAAAACTGGTCACTCAAAAGTTAGGTCCAGCTCTGTGAGCTGAATGCACACATCACAAAGATGTTTCTCAGAAGGTTTCTGTATAGTTTCTATATGAAGATATTGGCTTTTCCACAATATGCCTCAAATCTCCCCAATTATCCACTTGCAGATTCTAGAAAAAGAGTGTTTCAAAACAGCTCAATCAAAATAAACTTTCAACTCTGTGAGATCAATGCACACATCACAAAGGAGTTTCTCAGAATGCTTCTGTGTAGTTTTTTTTGTGAAGATATTTGATTTTCCACAGCAGGCTTCCAAGCACTCCAAATATCCACTCGCAGATTCTGCAAAAAGAGAGATTCAAATCTGCTGAATCAAAAGATAGGTTTAACTCTGTGACTTCAATGCACACCTCACAAGGGTGTTTCTCAGAAAGCTTCTGTGTAGTTTTTATATGAAGATATTTCCTTCTCCAAAGCAGGTCTCAAAGCCCTCCAAATATTCACTTCAAGATTCTACGGAAAGATTGTCTCAACACTGCTAAATCTAAACAAATGTTCAACTCTGTGTGATGAATGCACTCATCACAGAGAAGTTTCTCTGAATGCCTCTGTGTAGTTTTTATTTGAAGATATTTGCTTTTCCAGTATAGGGCGAAATAGGGCTCCAAATATTCACTTGCAGATTCTACAAAAGGAGAGATTCCAAACTGCTCAATCAAAACATAGGTTCAACACTGTGAGTTGAATGCACACATCACAAAGAAGTTTCACAGAGTGCTTCTGGGTAGTTTTTATTTGAGGATATTTCCCTTTCCACAATAGGCCTCAAAGCTTTCCAAATATCCACTTGCAGATTCTGCAAAAAGAGAGATACAAAACTGCTCTATCAAAAGATAGATTCGACTCTGTGAGTTGAATGCCAACATCGCAAAGAAGTTTCTCAGAATGCTTCTCTGCAGCTTTTTTGTGAGTATGTTTCGTTTTCCACCATAGGGCGAAATGGGGCTCCAAATATCCACTTGCATTTCCTACAAAAAGAGAGATTCTAAGCTGCTCAATCAAAACATTGTTTCAACACGGTTAGTTGAATGCACACATCCCAAAGATGTTTTTCAGAGTGCTTCTGTGTGGTTTTTATGTGAAGATACTTCCTTTTCCACAATAGGCCTCAAATCTCTGTAAATATCCACTTGCAGACTCTACAAAGAGTGTTTCCAAACTGCTCAATCATAAGATAGGTTCAACTCCGATAGTTGAATGCACACATCACAAAGAAGTTTCTCAGAAAGCTTCTGTGTAGTTTTTGATGAAGATATCTTCTTCTCTAAAACAGAACTCCAAGCCCTCCAAATATTCACTTCAAGATTCTACGGAAAGATTGTCTCAAACTGCTAAATCAAAACAAAGGTTCAACTCTGTGTGATGAATGCATTCATCACAAAGACGTTTCTCTGAGTGCTTCTGTGCAGTTTTTATTTGAAGATAATTGCTTTTCCAGTATAGGGCGAAATAGGGCTCCAAATATTCACTTGCAGATTCTACAGAAAGAGAGATTCCAAACTGCTCAATCAAAACATAGGTTCAACACTGTGAGTTGAATGCATACATCGCAAAGAAGTTTCACAGAGTACTTCTGGGTGGTTTTTATTTGAAGATATTTCCCTTTCCACAATAGGCCTCAAAGCGTTCCAAATGTCCACTTGCAGATTCCACCAAAAGAGTGTTTCGAAACTGCTCAATCAAAAGAAAGGTTCTACTCTGTGGGATGAATGCACACATCACAAAGTAGTTTCTCAGAATGCTTCTGTGTAGTTTTTATGTGAAGATATTTGTTTTTCCACAGTAGGCCCCAAGGAGCTCCAAATATTCACTTGCAGATTCTACAAAAAGAGTGTTCCGAAACTGCTCAATCATGAAATAGGATCAACCCTGTGAGATGAATGTACGTATGACAGAGAAGTTTCTCAGAATGCTTCTGTGTAGTTTTTATGCGAAGATATTCGATTTTCCACAGTACGCCTCAAAGTTCTCCAATTATCCACTCGTAGATTCTGCAAAAAGAGAGATTCAAAACTGCTCAATCAAAAGATAGTTTCTACTCCATTAGCTGAAAGACCACATCACAAAAAAAGTTTCTCAGGATGCTTCTGTGTAGTTTTTATGTGAACATATATTGGTTTTCCACAGTAGGCCTCAAAGCGCTCCAAATATCCGCTCACAGACTCTGCAAAAAGAGAGATTCAAAACTGCTGAATCAAAAGACAGTTTCAACTCTGTGACTTCAGTGCACACCTCACAAGGATGTTTCTCAGAATGCTTCTGTGTAGTTTTCATATAAAGATATCTCCTTCTCCAAAATGGATCTCAAAGTTCTCCAAATATTCACTTCCAGATTCTATGGAAAGATTGTCTCAAAACTGCTCAATCAAACCAAAGGTTCAACTCTGTGAGATGAATGCCCACATCACAAAGAAGTTTCTCAGAGTACTTCTGTGTAGTTTCTATTTGAGGATAGTTCCTTTTCCACCACAGACCAGAAAGGGCTCCAAATATCCATTGCAGATGGTACAAAAAGTGAGATTCAAAACTGCTCAATCCAAAGGTAGTTTCAACCATGTGATATGAATGCACACAGCACAGAGAATTTTCTCAAAATGCGTCTGTCTAGTTTTTATTTGAAGATATTTCCTTTTCTACCATAGGCCACAAACGTCTCCAAATATCCACATGCAGCTTCTACAAAAAGAGAGATTCCAAACTTCTCAATCAAAAGATAGGTTCAACTCTGTGAGTTGAAAGCACACCTCACAAAGAAGTTTCTCAGAGTGCTTCTGTGTGTTTTTATGTGAAGATATTTCCTTTTCCACAATAGGCCTCAAAGCTCTCCAAATATCTGTGAGCAGAGTCTACAAAATGAGAGATTCAAAACTGCTCAATGAAAAGATAGGTTCAACTCTGTGAGTTGAATGCACACCTCCAAAGAAGTTTCTCAGAATGCTTCCGTGTAGTTTTTATGTGAAGATATTTACTTTTCCACAGTTGTCCCAAAGCTCTAAAATGTCCACTTGCAGACCCTCCAAAAGAGTGTTTCAGAATTGCTCAATCAAAGGGAAGGTTCAATTCTGTGTGACCAATGCACTCATCACAAAGAAGTTTGTCTGAATGCTTCTGTGTAGAATTGATTTGAAGATAATTCCTTTTCCACCACAGTCCGCAAAGGGCTAAAAATATCCACTTGCCGATTCCACAAAAAGAGAGATTCAAAACTGCTCAATCACAAGATAGGTTCAACTTGGTAATTGGAAAGCACACATGACAAACAATTTCTGAGAATGTTTCTGTGTAGTTTTTAAGGGAAGATATTTGATTTTCAAATGTAGGCCTCAAATCGCTCCAAATATCCACTTGCATATTGTACAAAAAGAGAGATTCAAAACTGGTCACTCAAAAGTTAGGTCCAGCTCTGTGAGCTGAATGCACACATCACAAAGATGTTTCTCAGAAGGTTTCTGTATAGTTTTTATATGAAGATATTTGCTTTTCCACAATATGCCTCAAATCTCCCCAATTATGCACTTGCAGATTCTAGAAAAAGAGTGTTTCAAAACAGCTCAATCAAAATAAACTTTCAACTCTGTGAGATCAATGCACACATCACAAAGAAGTTTCTCAGAATGCTTCTGTGTAGTTTTTTTTGTGAAGATATTTGATTTTCCACAGCAGGCTTCCAAGCACTCCAAATATCCACTCGCAGATTCTGCAAAAAGAGAGATTCAAATCTGCTGAATCAAAAGATAGGTTTAACTCTGTGACTTCAATGCACACCTCACAAGGGTGTTTCTCAGAAAGCTTCTGTGTAGTTTTTATATGAAGATATCTCCTTCTCCAAAGCAGGTCTCAAAGCCCTCCAAATATTCACTTCAAGATTCTACGGAAAGATTGTCTCAACACTGCTAAATCTAAACAAATGTTCAACTCTGTGTGATGAATGCACTCATCACAGAGAAGTTTCTCTGAATGCCTCTGTGTAGTTTTTATTTGAAGATATTTGCTTTTCCAGTATAGGGCGAAATAGGGCTCCAAATATTCACTTGCAGATTCTACAAAAGGAGAGATTCCAAACTGCTCAATCAAAACATAGGTTCAACACTGTGAGTTGAATGCACACATCACAAAGAAGTTTCACAGAGTGCTTCTGGGTAGTTTTTATTTGAGGATATTTCCCTTTCCACAATAGGCCTCAAAGCTTTCCAAATATCCACTTGCAGATTCTGCAAAAAGAGAGATACAAAACTGCTCTATCAAAAGATAGATTCGACTCTGTGAGTTGAATGCCAACATCGCAAAGAAGTTTCTCAGAATGCTTCTCTGCAGCTTTTTTGTGAGTATGTTTCGTTTTCCACCATAGGGCGAAATGGGGCTCCAAATATCCACTTGCATTTCCTACAAAAAGAGAGATTCTAAGCTGCTCAATCAAAACATTGTTTCAACACGGTTAGTTGAATGCACACATCCCAAAGATGTTTTTCAGAGTGCTTCTGTGTGGTTTTTATGTGAAGATACTTCCTTTTCCACAATAGGCCTCAAATCTCTGTAAATATCCACTTGCAGACTCTACAAAGAGTGTTTCCAAACTCCTCAATCATAAGATAGGTTCAACTCCGATAGTTGAATGCACACATCACAAAGAAGTTTCTCGGAAAGCTTCTGTGTAGTTTTTGATGAAGATATCTCCTTCTCTAAAACAGAACTCCAAGCCCTCCAAATATTCACTTCAAGATTCTACGGAAAGATTGTCTCAAAACTCCTAAATCAAAACAAAGTTTCAACTCTGTGTCATGAATGCATTCATCTCAAAGAACTTTCTCTGAATGCTTCTGTGCAGTTTTTATTTGAAGATAATTGCCTTTCCAGTATAGGGCGAAATAGGGCTCCAAATATTCACTTGCAGATTCTACAGAAAGAGAGATTCCAAACTGCTCAATCAAAACATAGGTTCAACACTGTGAGTTGAATGCATACATCGCAAAGAAGTTTCACAGAGTACTTCTGGGTGGTTTTTATTTGAAGATATTTCCCTTTCCACAATAGGCCTCAAAGCTTTCCAAATGTCCACTTGCAGATTCCACCAAAAGAGTGTTTCGAAACTGCTCAATCAAAAGAAAGGTTCTACTCTGTGGGATGAATGCACACATCACAAAGTAGTTTCTCAGAATGCTTCTGTGTAGTTTTTATGTGAAGATATTTGTTTTTCCACAGTAGGCCCCAAAGAGCTCCAAATATTCACTTGCAGATTCTACAAAAAGAGTGTTCCAAAACTGCTCAATCATGAAATAGGATCAACCCTGTGAGATGAATGTACGTATGACAGAGAAGTTTCTCAGAATGCTTCTGTGTAGTTTTTATGCGAAGATATTCGATTTTCCACAGTACGCCTCAAAGTTCTCCAATTATCCACTCGTAGATTCTGCAAAAAGAGAGATTCAAAACTGCTCAATCAAAAGATAGTTTCTACTCCATTAGCTGAAAGACCACATCACAAAAAAAGTTTCTCAGGATGCTTCTGTGTAGTTTTTATGTGAAGATATTTGGTTTTCCACAGTAGGCCTCAAAGCGCTCCAAATATCCACTCACAGATTCTGCAAAAAGAGAGATTCAAAACTGCTGAATCAAAAGACAGTTTCAACTCTGTGACTTCAGTGCACACCTCACAAGGATGTTTCTCAGAATGCTTCTGTGTAGTTTTTATATAAAGATATCTCCTTCTCCAAAATGGATCTCAAAGTTCTCCAAATATTCACTTCCAGATTCTATGGAAAGATTGTCTCAAAACTGCTCAATCAAACCAAAGGTTCAACTCTGTGAGATGAATGCCCACATCACAAAGAAGTTTCTCAGAGTACTTCTGTGTAGTTTCTATTTGAGGATAGTTCCTTTTCCACCACAGACCAGAAAGGGCTCCAAATATCCATTGCAGATGGTACAAAAAGTGAGATTCAAAACTGCTCAATCCAAAGGTAGTTTCAACCATGTGATATGAATGCACACAGCACAGAGAATTTTCTCAAAATGCGTCTGTCTAGTTTTTATTTGAAGATATTTCCTTTTCTACCATAGGCCACAAACGTCTCCAAATATCCACATGCAGCTTCTACAAAAAGAGAGATTCAAAACTTCTCAATCAAAAGATAGGTTCAACTCTGTGAGTTGAAAGCACACCTCACAAAGAAGTTTCTCAGAGTGCTTCTGTGTGTTTTTATGTGAAGATATTTCCTTTTCCACAATAGGCCTCAAAGCTCTCCAAATATCTGCGAGCAGAGTCTACAAAATGAGAGATTCAAAACTGCTCAATGAAAAGATAGGTTCAACTCTGTGAGTTGAATGCACACCTCCAAAGAAGTTTCTCAGAATGCTTCCGTGTAGTTTTTATGTGAAGATATTTACTTTTCCACAGTTGTCCCAAAGCTCTAATATGTCCACTTGCAGGCCCTCCAAAAGAGTGTTTCAGAATTGCTCAATCAAAGGGAAGGTTCAATTCTGTGTGACCAATGCACTCATCACAAAGAAGTTTGTCTGAATGCTTCTGTGTAGAATTGATTTGAAGATAATTCCTTTTCCACCACAGTCCGCAAAGGGCTAAAAATATCCACTTGCCGATTCCACAAAAAGAGAGATTCAAAACTGCTCAATCACAAGATAGGTTCAACTTGGTAATTGGAAAGCACACATGACAAACAATTTCTGAGAATGTTTCTGTGTAGTTTTTAAGGGAAGATATTTGATTTTCAAATGTAGGCCTCAAATCGCTCCAAATATCCACTTGCATATTGTACAAAAAGAGAGATTCAAAACTGGTCACTCAAAAGTTAGGTCCAGCTCTGTGAGCTGAATGCACACATCACAAAGATGTTTCTCAGAAGGTTTCTGAATAGTTTCTATATGAAGATATTTGCTTTTCCACAATATGCCTCAAATCTCCCCAATTATCCACTTGCAGATTCTAGAAAAAGAGTGTTTCAAAACAGCTCAATCCAAATAAACTTTCAACTCTGTGAGATCAATGCACACATCACAAAGAAGTTTCTCAGAATGCTTCTGTGTAGTTTTTATATGAAGATATCTCCTTCTCCAAAGCAGGTCTCAAAGCCCTCCAAATATTCACTTCAAGATTCTACGGAAAGATTGTCTCAACACTGCTAAATCTAAACAAATGTTCAACTCTGTGTGATGAATGCACTCATCACAGAGAAGTTTCTCTGAATGCCTCTGTGTAGTTTTTATTTGAAGATATTTGCTTTTCCAGTATAGGGCGAAATAGGGCTCCAAATATTCACTTGCAGATTCTACAAAAGGAGAGATTCCAAACTGCTCAATCAAAACATAGGTTCAACACTGTGAGTTGAATGCACACATCACAAAGAAGTTTCACAGAGTGCTTCTGGGTAGTTTTTATTTGAGGATATTTCCCTTTCCACAATAGGCCTCAAAGCTTTCCAAATATCCACTTGCAGATTCTGCAAAAAGAGAGATACAAAACTGCTCTATCAAAAGATAGATTCGACTCTGTGAGTTGAATGCCAACATCGCAAAGAAGTTTCTCAGAATGCTTCTCTGCAGCTTTTTTGTGAGTATGTTTCGTTATCCACCATAGGGCGAAATGGGGCTCCAAATATCCACTTGCATTTCCTACAAAAAGAGAGATTCTAAGCTGCTCAATCAAAACATTGTTTCAACACGGTTAGTTGAATGCACACATCCCAAAGATGTTTTTCAGAGTGCTTCTGTGTGGTTTTTATGTGAAGATACTTCCTTTTCCACAATAGGCCTCAAATCTCTGTAAATATCCACTTGCAGACTCTACAAAGAGTGTTTCCAAACTGCTCAATCATAAGATAGGTTCAACTCCGATAGTTGAATGCACACATCACAAAGAAGTTTCTCAGAAAGCTTCTGTGTAGTTTTTGATGAAGATATCTCCTTCTCTAAAACAGAACTCCAAGCCCTCCAAATATTCACTTCAAGATTCTACGGAAAGATTGTCTCAAAACTCCTAAATCAAAACAAAGTTTCAACTCTGTGTCATGAATGCATTCATCTCAAAGAACTTTCTCTGAATGCTTCTGTGCAGTTTTTATTTGAAGATAATTGCTTTTCCAGTATAGGGCGAAATAGGGCTCCAAATATTCACTTGCAGATTCTACAGAAAGAGAGATTCCAAACTGCTCAATCAAAACATAGGTTCAACACTGTGAGTTGAATGCATACATCGCAAAGAAGTTTCACAGAGTACTTCTGGGTGGTTTTTATTTGAAGATATTTCCCTTTCCACAATAGGCCTCAAAGCTTTCCAAATGTCCACTTGCAGATTCCACCAAAAGAGTGTTTCGAAACTGCTCAATCAAAAGAAAGGTTCTACTCTGTGGGATGAATGCACACATCACAAAGTAGTTTCTCAGAATGCTTCTGTGTAGTTTTTATGTGAAGATATTTGTTTTTCCACAGTAGGCCCCAAAGAGCTCCAAATATTCACTTGCAGATTCTACAAAAAGAGTGTTCCAAAACTGCTCAATCATGAAATAGGATCAACCCTGTGAGATGAATGTACGTATGACAGAGAAGTTTCTCAGAATGCTTCTGTGTAGTTTTTATGCGAAGATATTCGATTTTCCACAGTACGCCTCAAAGTTCTCCAATTATCCACTCGTAGATTCTGCAAAAAGAGAGATTCAAAACTGCTCAATCAAAAGATAGTTTCTACTCCATTAGCTGAAAGACCACATCACAAAAAAAGTTTCTCAGGATGCTTCTGTGTAGTTTTTATGTGAAGATATTTGGTTTTCCACAGTAGGCCTCAAAGCGCTCCAAATATCCACTCACAGATTCTGCAAAAAGAGAGATTCAAAACTGCTGAATCAAAAGACAGTTTCAACTCTGTGACTTCAGTGCACACCTCACAAGGATGTTTCTCAGAATGCTTCTGTGTAGTTTTCATATAAAGATATCTCCTTCTCCAAAATGGATCTCAAAGTTCTCCAAATATTCACTTCCAGATTCTATGGAAAGATTGTCTCAAAACTGCTCAATCAAACCAAAGGTTCAACTCTGTGAGATGAATGCCCACATCACAAAGAAGTTTCTCAGAGTACTTCTGTGTAGTTTCTATTTGAGGATAGTTCCTTTTCCACCACAGACCAGAAAGGGCTCCAAATATCCATTGCAGATGGTACAAAAAGTGAGATTCAAAACTGCTCAATCCAAAGGTAGTTTCAACCATGTGATATGAATGCACACAGCACAGAGAATTTTCTCAAAATGCGTCTGTCTAGTTTTTATTTGAAGATATTTCCTTTTCTACCATAGGCCACAAACGTCTCCAAATATCCACATGCAGCTTCTACAAAAAGAGAGATTCAAAACTTCTCAATCAAAAGATAGGTTCAACTCTGTGAGTTGAAAGCACACCTCACAAAGAAGTTTCTCAGAGTGCTTCTGTGTGTTTTTATGTGAAGATATTTCCTTTTCCACAATAGGCCTCAAAGCTCTCCAAATATCTGCGAGCAGAGTCTACAAAATGAGAGATTCAAAACTGCTCAATGAAAAGATAGGTTCAACTCTGTGTGTTGAATGCACACCTCCAAAGAAGTTTCTCAGAATGCTTCCGTGTAGTTTTTATGTGAAGATATTTACTTTTCCACAGTTGTCCCAAAGCTCTAAAATGTCCACTTGCAGACCCTCCAAAAGAGTGTTTCAGAATTGCTCAATCAAAGGGAAGGTTCAATTCTGTGTGACCAATGCACTCATCACAAAGAAGTTTGTCTGAATGCTTCTGTGTAGAATTGATTTGAAGATAATTCCTTTTCCACCACAGTCCGCAAAGGGCTAAAAATATCCACTTGCCGATTCCACAAAAAGAGAGATTCAAAACTGCTCAATCACAAGATAGGTTCAACTTGGTAATTGGAAAGCACACATGACAAACAATTTCTGAGAATGTTTCTGTGTAGTTTTTAAGGGAAGATATTTGATTTTCAAATGTAGGCCTCAAATCGCTCCAAATATCCACTTGCATATTGTACAAAAAGAGAGATTCAAAACTGGTCACTCAAAAGTTAGGTCCAGCTCTGTGAGCTGAATGCACACATCACAAAGATGTTTCTCAGAAGGTTTCTGTATAGTTTCTATATGAAGATATTTGCTTTTCCACAATATGCCTCAAATCTCCCCAATTATCCACTTGCAGATTCTAGAAAAAGAGTGTTTCAAAACAGCTCAATCAAAATAAACTTTCAACTCTGTGAGATCAATGCACACATCACAAAGAAGTTTCTCAGAATGCTTCTGTGTAGTTTTTTTTGTGAAGAATTTGATTTTCCACAGCAGGCTTCCAAGCACTCCAAATATCCACTCGCAGATTCTGCAAAAAGAGAGATTCAAATCTGCTGAATCAAAAGATAGGTTTAACTCTGTGACTTCAATGCACACCTCACAAGGGTGTTTCTCAGAAAGCTTCTGTGTAGTTTTTATATGAAGATATCTCCTTCTCCAAAGCAGGTCTCAAAGCCCTCCAAATATTCACTTCAAGATTCTACGGAAAGATTGTCTCAACACTGCTAAATCTAAACAAATGTTCAACTCTGTGTGATGAATGCACTCATCACAGAGAAGTTTCTCTGAATGCCTCTGTGTAGTTTTTATTTGAAGATATTTGCTTTTCCAGTATAGGGCGAAATAGGGCTCCAAATATTCACTTGCAGATTCTACAAAAGGAGAGATTCCAAACTGCTCAATCAAAACATAGGTTCAACACTGTGAGTTGAATGCACACATCACAAAGAAGTTTCACAGAGTGCTTCTGGGTAGTTTTTATTTGAGGATATTTCCCTTTCCACAATAGGCCTCAAAGCTTTCCAAATATCCACTTGCAGATTCTGCAAAAAGAGAGATACAAAACTGCTCTATCAAAAGATAGATTCGACTCTGTGAGTTGAATGCCAACATCGCAAAGAAGTTTCTCAGAATGCTTCTCTGCAGCTTTTTTGTGAGTATGTTTCGTTTTCCACCATAGGGCGAAATGGGGCTCCAAATATCCACTTGCATTTCCTACAAAAAGAGAGATTCTAAGCTGCTCAATCAAAACATTGTTTCAACACGGTTAGTTGAATGCACACATCCCAAAGATGTTTTTCAGAGTGCTTCTGTGTGGTTTTTATGTGAAGATACTTCCTTTTCCACAATAGGCCTCAAATCTCTGTAAATATCCACTTGCAGACTCTACAAAGAGTGTTTCCAAACTGCTCAATCATAAGATAGGTTCAACTCCGATAGTTGAATGCACACATCACAAAGAAGTTTCTCAGAAAGCTTCTGTGCAGTTTTTGATGAAGATATCTTCTTCTCTAAAACAGAACTCCAAGCCCTCCAAATATTCACTTCAAGATTCTACGGAAAGATTGTCTCAAAACTCCTAAATCAAAACAAAGTTTCAACTCTGTGTCATGAATGCATTCATCTCAAAGAAGTTTCTCTGAATGCTTCTGTGCAGTTTTTATTTGAAGATAATTGCTTTTCCAGTATAGGGCGAAATAGGGCTCCAAATATTCACTTGCAGATTCTACAGAAAGAGAGATTCCAAACCGCTCAATCAAAACATAGGTTCAACACTGTGAGTTGAATGCATACATCGCAAAGAAGTTTCACAGAGTACTTCTGGGTGGTTTTTATTTGAAGATATTTCCCTTTCCACAATAGGCCTCAAAGCTTTCCAAATGTCCACTTGCAGATTCCACCAAAAGAGTGTTTCGAAACTGCTCAATCAAAAGAAAGGTTCTACTCTGTGGGATGAATGCACACATCACAAAGTAGTTTCTCAGAATGCTTCTGTGTAGTTTTTATGTGAAGATATTTGTTTTTCCACAGTAGGCCCCAAGGAGCTCCAAATATTCACTTGCAGATTCTACAAAAAGAGTGTTCCAAAACTGCTCAATCATGAAATAGGATCAACCCTGTGAGATGAATGTACGTATGACAGAGAAGTTTCTCAGAATGCTTCTGTGTAGTTTTTATGCGAAGATATTCGATTTTCCAAAGTACGCCTCAAAGTTCTCCAATTATCCACTCGTAGATTCTGCAAAAAGAGAGATTCAAAACTGCTCAATCAAAAGATAGTTTCTACTCCATTAGCTGAAAGACCACATCACAAAAAAAGTTTCTCAGGATGCTTCTGTGTAGTTTTTATGTGAAGATATTTGGTTTTCCACAGTAGGCCTCAAAGCGCTCCAAATATCCACTCACAGATTCTGCAAAAAGAGAGATTCAAAACTGCTGAATCAAAAGACAGTTTCAACTCTGTGACTTCAGTGCACACCTCACAAGGATGTTTCTCAGAATGCTTCTGTGTAGTTTTTATATAAAGATATCTCCTTCTCCAAAATGGATCTCAAAGTTCTCCAAATATTCACTTCCAGATTCTATGGAAAGATTGTCTCAAAACTGCTCAATCAAACCAAAGGTTCAACTCTGTGAGATGAATGCCCACATCACAAAGAAGTTTCTCAGAGTACTTCTGTGTAGTTTCTATTTGAGGATAGTTCCTTTTCCACCACAGACCAGAAAGGGCTCCAAATATCCATTGCAGATGGTACAAAAAGTGAGATTCAAAACTGCTCAATCCAAAGGTAGTTTCAACCATGTGATATGAATGCACACAGCACAGAGAATTTTCTCAAAATGCGTCTGTCTAGTTTTTATTTGAAGATATTTCCTTTTCTACCATAGGCCACAAACGTCTCCAAATATCCACATGCAGCTTCTACAAAAAGAGAGATTCAAAACTTCTCAATCAAAAGATAGGTTCAACTCTGTGAGTTGAAAGCACACCTCACAAAGAAGTTTCTCAGAGTGCTTCTGTGTGTTTTTATGTGAAGATATTTCCTTTTCCACAATAGGCCTCAAAGCTCTCCAAATATCTGCGAGCAGAGTCTACAAAATGAGAGATTCAAAACTGCTCAATGAAAAGATAGGTTCAACTCTGTGAGTTGAATGCACACCTCCAAAGAAGTTTCTCAGAATGCTTCCGTGTAGTTTTTATGTGAAGATATTTACTTTTCCACAGTTGTCCCAAAGCTCTAAAATATCCACTTGCAGACCCTCCAAAAGAGTGTTTCAGAATTGCTCAATCAAAGGGAAGGTTCAATTCTGTGTGACCAATGCACTCATCACAAAGAAGTTTGTCTGAATGCTTCTGTGTAGAATTGATTTGAAGATAATTCCTTTTCCACCACAGTCCGCAAAGGGCTAAAAATATCCACTTGCCGATTCCACAAAAAGAGAGATTCAAAACTGCTCAATCACAAGATAGGTTCAACTTGGTAATTGGAAAGCACACATGACAAACAATTTCTGAGAATGTTTCTGTGTAGTTTTTAAGGGAAGATATTTGATTTTCAAATGTAGGCCTCAAATCGCTCCAAATATCCACTTGCATATTGTACAAAAAGAGAGATTCAAAACTGGTCACTCAAAAGTTAGGTCCAGCTCTGTGAGCTGAATGCACACATCACAAAGATGTTTCTCAGAAGGTTTCTGTATAGTTTCTATATGAAGATATTTGCTTTTCCACAATATGCCTCAAATCTCCCCAATTATCCACTTGCAGATTCTAGAAAAAGAGTGTTTCAAAACAGCTCAATCAAAATAAACTTTCAACTCTGTGAGATCAATGCACACATCCCAAAGAAGTTTCTCAGAATGCTTCTGTGTAGTTTTTTTTGTGAAGATATTTGATTTTCCACAGCAGGCTTCCAAGCACTCCAAATATCCACTCGCAGATTCTGCAATTAGAGAGATTCAAATCTGCTGAATCAAAAGATAGGTTTAACTCTGTGACTTCAATGCACACCTCACAAGGGTGTTTCTCAGAAAGCTTCTGTGTAGTTTTTATATGAAGATATCTCCTTCTCCAAAGCAGGTCTCAAAGCCCTCCAAATATTCACTTCAAGATTCTACGGAAAGATTGTCTCAACACTGCTAAATCTAAACAAATGTTCAACTCTGTGTGATGAATGCACTCATCACAGAGAAGTTTCTCTGAATGCCTCTGTGTAGTTTTTATTTGAAGATATTTGCTTTTCCAGTATAGGGCGAAATAGGGCTCCAAATATTCACTTGCAGATTCTACAAAAGGAGAGATTCCAAACTGCTCAATCAAAACATAGGTTCAACACTGTGAGTTGAATGCACACATCACAAAGAAGTTTCACAGAGTGCTTCTGGGTAGTTTTTATTTGAGGATATTTCCCTTTCCACAATAGGCCTCAAAGCTTTCCAAATATCCACTTGCAGATTCTGCAAAAAGAGAGATACAAAACTGCTCTATCAAAAGATAGATTCGACTCTGTGAGTTGAATGCCAACATCGCAAAGAAGTTTCTCAGAATGCTTCTCTGCAGCTTTTTTGTGAGTATGTTTCGTTTTCCACCATAGGGCGAAATGGGGCTCCAAATATCCACTTGCATTTCCTACAAAAAGAGAGATTCTAAGCTGCTCAATCAAAACATTGTTTCAACACGGTTAGTTGAATGCACACATCCCAAAGATGTTTTTCAGAGTGCTTCTGTGTGGTTTTTATGTGAAGATACTTCCTTTTCCACAATAGGCCTCAAATCTCTGTAAATATCCACTTGCAGACTCTACAAAGAGTGTTTCCAAACTGCTCAATCATAAGATAGGTTCAACTCCGATAGTTGAATGCACACATCACAAAGAAGTTTCTCAGAAAGCTTCTCTGCAGTTTTTGATGAAGATATCTCCTTCTCTAAAACAGAACTCCAAGCCCTCCAAATATTCACTTCAAGATTCTACGGAAAGATTGTCTCAAAACTCCTAAATCAAAACAAAGTTTCAACTCTGTGTCATGAATGCATTCATCTCAAAGAAGTTTCTCTGAATGCTTCTGTGCAGTTTTTATTTGAAGATAATTGCTTTTCCAGTATAGGGCGAAATAGGGCTCCAAATATTCACTTGCAGATTCTACAGAAAGAGAGATTCCAAACTGCTCAATCAAAACATAGGTTCAACACTGTGAGTTGAATGCATACATCGCAAAGAAGTTTCACAGAGTACTTCTGGGTGGTTTTTATTTGAAGATATTTCCCTTTCCACAATAGGCCTCAAAGCTTTCCAAATGTCCACTTGCAGATTCCACCAAAAGAGTGTTTCGAAACTGCTCAATCAAAAGAAAGGTTCTACTCTGTGGGATGAATGCACACATCACAAAGTAGTTTCCCAGAATGCTTCTGTGTAGTTTTTATGTGAAGATATTGGTTTTTCCACAGTAGGCCCCAATGAGCTCCAAATATTCACTTGCAGATTCTACAAAAAGAGTGTTTCAAAAGTGCTCAATAATAAAATAGGATCAACCCTGTGAATGTACGTATGACAAAGAAGTTTCTCAGAATGCTTCTGTGCAGTTTTTATGGGAAGATATTTGATTTTCCACAGTAGACCTCAAAGTTCTCCAAATATCCACTTGCAGATTCTGCAAAAAGAGAGATTCAAAACTGCTCAATCGAAAGATAGGTTCAACTCTATTAGTTGAAAGACCACATCACAAAGAAGTTTCTCAGAATGCTTCTGTGTAGTTTTTATGTGAAGATATTTGGTTTTCCACAGTAGGCCACAAAGCGCTCCAAATATTCACTCACAGATTCTGCAAAAAGAGAGATTCAAAACTGCTGAATCAAAAGGTAGTTTTAACTCTGTGACTTCAGTGCACACCTCACAAAGATGTTTCTCAGAATGCTTCTGTATAGTTTTTATATGAAGATATCTCCTTCTCCAAAATAGATCTCAAAGCCCTCCAAATATTCACTTCCAGATCCTATGGAAAGATGGTCTCAAAACTGCTCAAGCAAAACAAAGGTTCAACTCTGTGAGATGAATGCACACATCACGAAGAAGTTTCTCAGAATACTTCTGTGTAGTTTTTATTTGAGGATAGTTCCTTTTCCACCATAGACCACAAAGGGCTCCAAATATCCACTTGCAGATGGTACAAAAAGAGAGATTCAAAACTGCTCAATCAAAAGATAGGTTCAACTCTGTGGTTGAATGCACACCTCACAAAGAAGTTTCTCAGAATGCTTCTGTCTAGTTTTTATTTGAAGGTATTTCCTTTTCCACCATAGGCCACAAACGTCTCCAAATAGCCACATGCAGCTTCTACAAAAAGAGAGATTCAAAACTGCTCAATCAAAAGATAGGTTCAACTCTGTGGTTGAATGCACACCTCACAAAGAAGTTTCTCAGAACGCTTCTGTGTGTTTTTATGTGAAGATATTTCCTTTTCCACAATAGGCCTCAAAGCTCTCCAAATATCCGCAAGCAGAGTCTACAAAAAGAGAGATTCAAAACTGCTCAATGAAAAGATAGGTTCAACTCTGTGAGTTGAATGCACATCTCACAAAGAAGTTTCTCAGAATGCTTCTGTGTAGTTTTTATGTGAAGATATTTACTTTTCCACAATTGTCCCAAAGCTCTAAAATATCCACTTGCAGACCCTCTAAAAGAGTGTTTCAGAGTTGCTCAATCAAAGGAAAGGATCAACTCTGTGTGACGAATGCACTCATCACAAAGAAGTTTGTCTGAATGCTTCTGTGTAGAATTGATTTGAAGATAATTCCTTTTCCACCACAGTCCGCAAAGGGCTAAAAATATCCACTTGCCGATTCCACAAAAAGAGAGATTCAAAACTGCTCAATCACAAGATAGGTTCAACTTGGTAATTGGAAAGCACACATGACAAACAATTTCTGAGAATGTTTCTGTGTAGTTTTTAAGGGAAGATATTTGATTTTCAAATGTAGGCCTCAAATC
Organism: Homo sapiens; assembly: GCF_000001405.40. Lineage (NCBI taxonomy): Eukaryota > Metazoa > Chordata > Mammalia > Primates > Hominidae > Homo > Homo sapiens. Next base: position 18,298,482 of record NC_000015.10, on the reverse strand, counting down.
GCTCCAAATATCCACTTGCATATTGTACAAAAAGAGAGATTCAAAACTGGTCACTCAAAAGTTAGGTCCAGCTCTGTGAGCTGAATGCACACATCACAAAGATGTTTCTCAGAAGGTTTCTGTATAGTTTCTATATGAAGATATTGGCTTTTCCACAATATGCCTCAAATCTCCCCAATTATCCACTTGCAGATTCTAGAAAAAGAGTGTTTCAAAACAGCTCAATCAAAATAAACTTTCAACTCTGTGAGATCAATGCACACATCACAAAGAAGTTTCTCAGAATGCTTTCTGTGTAGTTTTTTTTGTGAAGATATTTGATTTTCCACAGCAGGCTTCCAAGCACTCCAAATATCCACTCGCAGATTCTGCAAAAAGAGAGATTCAAATCTGCTGAATCAAAAGATAGGTTTAACTCTGTGACTTCAATGCACACCTCACAAGGGGTGTTTCTCAGAAAGCTTCTGTGTAGTTTTTATATGAAGATATCTCCTTCTCCAAAGCAGGTCTCAAAGCCCTCCAAATATTCACTTCAAGATTCTACGGAAAGATTGTCTCAACACTGCTAAATCTAAACAAATGTTCAACTCTGTGTGATGAATGCACTCATCACAGAGAAGTTTCTCTGAATGCCTCTGTGTAGTTTTTATTTGAAGATATTTGCTTTTCCAGTATAGGGCGAAATAGGGCTCCAAATATTCACTTGCAGATTCTACAAAAGGAGAGATTCCAAACTGCTCAATCAAAACATAGGTTCAACACTGTGAGTTGAATGCACACATCACAAAGAAGTTTCACAGAGTGCTTCTGGGTAGTTTTTATTTGAGGATATTTCCCTTTCCACAATAGGCCTCAAAGCTTTCCAAATATCCACTTGCAGATTCTGCAAAAAGAGAGATACAAAACTGCTCTATCAAAAGATAGATTCGACTCTGTGAGTTGAATGCCAACATCGCAAAGAAGTTTCTCAGAATGCTTCTCTGCAGCTTTTTTGTGAGTATGTTTCGTTTTCCACCATAGGGCGAAATGGGGCTCCAAATATCCACTTGCATTTCCTACAAAAAGAGAGATTCTAAGCTGCTCAATCAAAACATTGTTTCAACACGGTTAGTTGAATGCACACATCCCAAAGATGTTTTTCAGAGTGCTTCTGTGTGGTTTTTATGTGAAGATACTTCCTTTTCCACAATAGGCCTCAAATCTCTGTAAATATCCACTTGCAGACTCTACAATGAGTGTTTCCACACTGCTCAATCATAAGATAGGTTCAACTCCGATAGTTGAATGCACACATCACAAAGAAGTTTCTCAGAAAGCTTCTGTGTAGTTTTTGATGAAGATATCTTCTTCTCTAAAACAGAACTCCAAGCCCTCCAAATATTCACTTCAAGATTCTACGGAAGGATTGTCTCAAAACTCCTAAATCAAAACAAAGGTTCAACTCTGTGTGATGAATGCATTCATCACAAAGAAGTTTCTCTGAGTGCTTCTGTGCAGTTTTTATTTGAAGATAATTGCTTTTCCAGTATAGGGCGAAATAGGGCTCCAAATATTCACTTGCAGATTCTACAGAAAGAGAGATTCCAAACTGCTCAATCAAAACATAGGTTCAACACTGTGAGTTGAATGCATACATCGCAAAGAAGTTTCACAGAGTACTTCTGGGTGGTTTTTATTTGAAGATATTTCCCTTTCCACAATAGGCCTCAAAGCTTTCCAAATGTCCACTTGCAGATTCCACCAAAAGAGTGTTTCGAAACTGCTCAATCAAAAGAAAGGTTCTACTCTGTGGGATGAATGCACACATCACAAAGTAGTTTCTCAGAATGCTTCTGTGTAGTTTTTATGTGAAGATATTTGTTTTTCCACAGTAGGCCCCAAAGAGCTCCAAATATTCACTTGCAGATTCTACAAAAAGAGTGTTCCAAAACTGCTCAATCATGAAATAGGATCAACCCTGTGAGATGAATGTACGTATGACAGAGAAGTTTCTCAGAATGCTTCTGTGTAGTTTTTATGCGAAGATATTCGATTTTCCACAGTACGCCTCAAAGTTCTCCAATTATCCACTCGTAGATTCTGCAAAAAGAGAGACTCAAAACTGCTCAATCAAAAGATAGTTTCTACTCCATTAGCTGAAAGACCACATCACAAAAAAAGTTTCTCAGGATGCTTCTGTGTAGTTTTTATGTGAAGATATTTGGTTTTCCACAGTAGGCCTCAAAGCGCTCCAAATATCCACTCACAGATTCTGCAAAAAGAGAGATTCAAAACTGCTGAATCAAAAGACAGTTTCAACTCTGTGACTTCAGTGCACACCTCACAAGGATGTTTCTCAGAATGCTTCTGTGTAGTTTTTATTTAAAGATATCTCCTTCTCCAAAATGGATCTCAAAGTTCTCCAAATATTCACTTCCAGATTCTATGGAAAGATTGTCTCAAAACTGCTCAATCAAACCAAAGGTTCAACTCTGTGAGATGAATGCCCACATCACAAAGAAGTTTCTCAGAGTACTTCTGTGTAGTTTCTATTTGAGGATAGTTCCTTTTCCACCACAGACCAGAAAGGGCTCCAAATATCCATTGCAGATGGTACAAAAAGTGAGATTCAAAACTGCTCAATCCAAAGGTAGTTTCAACCATGTGATATGAATGCACACAGCACAGAGAATTTTCTCAAAATGCGTCTGTCTAGTTTTTATTTGAAGATATTTCCTTTTCTACCATAGGCCACAAACGTCTCCAAATATCCACATGCAGCTTCTACAAAAAGAGAGATTCAAAACTTCTCAATCAAAAGATAGGTTCAACTCTGTGAGTTGAAAGCACACCTCACAAAGAAGTTTCTCAGAGTGCTTCTGTGTGTTTTTATGTGAAGATATTTCCTTTTCCACAATAGGCCTCAAAGCTCTCCAAATATCTGCGAGCAGAGTCTACAAAATGAGAGATTCAAAACTGCTCAATGAAAAGATAGGTTCAACTCTGTGAGTTGAATGCACACCTCCAAAGAAGTTTCTCAGAATGCTTCCCGTGTAGTTTTTATGTGAAGATATTTACTTTTCCACAGTTGTCCCAAAGCTCTAAAATGTCCACTTGCAGACCCTCCAAAAGAGTGTTTCAGAATTGCTCAATCAAAGGGAAGGTTCAATTCTGTGTGACCAATGCACTCATCACAAAGAAGTTTGTCTGAATGCTTCTGTGTAGAATTGATTTGAAGATAATTCCTTTTCCACCACAGTCCGCAAAGGGCTAAAAATATCCACTTGCCGATTCCACAAAAAGAGAGATTCAAAACTGCTCAATCACAAGATAGGTTCAACTTGGTAATTGGAAAGCACACATGACAAACAATTTCTGAGAATGTTTCTGTGTAGATTTTAAGGGAAGATATTTGATTTACAAATGTAGGCCTCAAATCGCTCCAAATATCCACTTGCATATTGTACAAAAAGAGAGATTCAAAACTGGTCACTCAAAAGTTAGGTCCAGCTCTGTGAGCTGAATGCACACATCACAAAGATGTTTCTCAGAAGGTTTCTGTATAGTTTTTATATGAAGATATTGGCTTTTCCACAATATGCCTCAAATCTCCCCAATTATCCACTTGCAGATTCTAGAAAAAGAGTGTTTCAAAACAGCTCAATCAAAATAAACTTTCAACTCTGTGAGATCAATGCACACATCACAAAGAAGTTTCTCAGAATGCTTCTGTGTAGTTTTTTTTGTGAAGATATTTGATTTTCCACAGCAGGCTTCCAAGCACTCCAAATATCCACTCGCAGATTCTGCAAAAAGAGAGATTCAAATCTGCTGAATCAAAAGATAGGTTTAACTCTGTGACTTCAATGCACACCTCACAAGGGTGTTTCTCAGAAAGCTTCTGTGTAGTTTTTATATGAAGATATCTCCTTCTCCAAAGCAGGTCTCAAAGCCCTCCAAATATTCACTTCAAGATTCTACGGAAAGATTGTCTCAACACTGCTAAATCTAAACAAATGTTCAACTCTGTGTGATGAATGCACTCATCACAGAGAAGTTTCTCTGAATGCCTCTGTGTAGTTTTTATTTGAAGATATTTGCTTTTCCAGTATAGGGCGAAATAGGGCTCCAAATATTCACTTGCAGATTCTACAAAAGGAGAGATTCCAAACTGCTCAATCAAAACATAGGTTCAACACTGTGAGTTGAATGCATACATCGCAAAGAAGTTTCACAGAGTACTTCTGGGTAGTTTTTATTTGAGGATATTTCCCTTTCCACAATAGGCCTCAAAGCTTTCCAAATATCCACTTGCAGATTCTGCAAAAAGAGAGATACAAAACTGCTCTATCAAAAGATAGATTCGACTCTGTGAGTTGAATGCCAACATCGCAAAGAAGTTTCTCAGAATGCTTCTCTGCAGCTTTTTTGTGAGTATGTTTCGTTTTCCACCATAGGGCGAAATGGGGCTCCAAATATCCACTTGCATTTCCTACAAAAAGAGAGATTCTAAGCTGCTCAATCAAAACATTGTTTCAACACGGTTAGTTGAATGCACACATCCCAAAGATGTTTTTCAGAGTGCTTCTGTGTGGTTTTTATGTGAAGATACTTCCTTTTCCACAATAGGCCTCAAATCTCTGTAAATATCCACTTGCAGACTCTACAAAGAGTGTTTCCAAACTCCTCAATCATAAGATAGGTTCAACTCCGATAGTTCAATGCACACATCACAAAGAAGTTTCTCAGAAAGCTTCTGTGTAGTTTTTGATGAAGATATCTTCTTCTCTAAAACAGAACTCCAAGCCCTCCAAATATTCACTTCAAGATTCTACGGAAAGATTGTCTCAAACTGCTAAATCAAAACAAAGGTTCAACTCTGTGTGATGAATGCATTCATCACAAAGAAGTTTCTCTGAGTGCTTCCTGTGCAGTTTTTATTTGAAGATAATTGCTTTTCCAGTATAGGGCGAAATAGGGCTCCAAATATTCACTTGCAGATTCTACAGAAAGAGAGATTCCAAACTGCTCAATCAAAACATAGGTTCAACACTGTGAGTTGAATGCATACATCGCAAAGAAGTTTCACAGAGTACTTCTGGGTGGTTTTTATTTGAAGATATTTCCCTTTCCACAATAGGCCTCAAAGCTTTCCAAATGTCCACTTGCAGATTCCACCAAAAGAGTGTTTCGAAACTGCTCAATCAAAAGAAAGGTTCTACTCTGTGGGATGAATGCACACATCACAAAGTAGTTTCTCAGAATGCTTCTGTGTAGTTTTTATGTGAAGATATTTGTTTTTCCACAGTAGGCCCCAAGGAGCTCCAAATATTCACTTGCAGATTCTACAAAAAGAGTGTTCCAAAACTGCTCAATCATGAAATAGGATCAACCCTGTGAGATGAATGTACGTATGACAGAGAAGTTTCTCAGAATGCTTCTGTGTAGTTTTTATGCGAAGATATTCGACTTTCCACAGTACGCCTCAAAGTTCTCCAATTAGCCACTCGTAGATCCTGCAAAAAGAGAGATTCAAAACTGCTCAATCAAAAGATAGTTTCTACTCCATTAGCTGAAAGACCACATCACAAAAAAAGTTTCTCAGGATGCTTCTGTGTAGTTTTTATGTGAAGATATTTGGTTTTCCACAGTAGGCCTCAAAGCGCTCCAAATATCCACTCACAGATTCTGCAAAAAGAGAGATTCAAAACTGCTGAATCAAAAGACAGTTTCAACTCTGTGACTTCAGTGCACACCTCACAAGGATGTTTCTCAGAATGCTTCTGTGTAGTTTTTATATAAAGATATCTCCTTCTCCAAAATGGATCTCAAAGTTCTCCAAATATTCACTTCCAGATTCTATGGAAAGATTGTCTCAAAACTGCTCAATCAAACCAAAGGTTCAACTCTGTGAGATGAATGCCCACATCACAAAGAAGTTTCTCAGAGTACTTCTGTGTAGTTTCTATTTGAGGATAGTTCCTTTTCCACCACAGACCAGAAAGGGCTCCAAATATCCATTGCAGATGGTACAAAAAGTGAGATTCAAAACTGCTCAATCCAAAGGTAGTTTCAACCATGTGATATGAATGCACACAGCACAGAGAATTTTCTCAAAATGCGTCTGTCTAGTTTTTATTTGAAGATATTTCCTTTTCTACCATAGGCCACAAACGTCTCCAAATATCCACATGCAGCTTCTACAAAAAGAGAGATTCAAAACTTCTCAATCAAAAGATAGGTTCAACTCTGTGAGTTGAAAGCACACCTCACAAAGAAGTTTCTCAGAGTGCTTCTGTGTGTTTTTATGTGAAGATATTTCCTTTTCCACAATAGGCCTCAAAGCTCTCCAAATATCTGCGAGCAGAGTCTACAAAATGAGAGATTCAAAACTGCTCAATGAAAAGATAGGTTCAACTCTGTGAGTTGAATGCACACCTCCAAAGAAGTTTCTCAGAATGCTTCCCGTGCAGTTTTTATGTGAAGGTATTTACTTTTCCACAGTTGTCCCAAAGCTCTAAAATGTCCACTTGCAGACCCTCCAAAAGAGTGTTTCAGAATTGCTCAATCAAAGGGAAGGTTCAATTCTTTGTGACCAATGCACTCATCACAAAGAAGTTTGTCTGAATGCTTCTGTGTAGAATTGATTTGAAGATAATTCCTTTTCCACCACAGTCCGCAAAGGGCTAAAAATATCCACTTGCCGATTCCACAAAAAGAGAGATTCAAAACTGCTCAATCACAAGATAGGTTCAACTTGGTAATTGGAAAGCACACATGACAAACAATTTCTGAGAATGTTTCTGTGTAGTTTTTAAGGGAAGATATTTGATTTTCAAATGTAGGCCTCAAATCGCTCCAAATATCCACTTGCATATTGTACAAAAAGAGAGATTCAAAACTGGTCACTCAAAAGTTAGGTCCAGCTCTGTGAGCTGAATGCACACATCACAAAGATGTTTCTCAGAAGGTTTCTGTATAGTTTCTATATGAAGATATTTGCTTTTCCACAATATGCCTCAAATCTCCCCAATTATCCACTTGCAGATTCTAGAAAAAGAGTGTTTCAAAACAGCTCAATCAAAATAAACTTTCAACTCTGTGAGATCAATGCACACATCACAAAGAAGTTTCTCAGAATGCTTCTGTGTAGTTTTTTTTGTGAAGATATTTGATTTTCCACAGCAGGCTTCCAAGCACTCCAAATATCCACTCGCAGATTCTGCAAAAAGAGAGATTCAAATCTGCTGAATCAAAAGATAGGTTTAACTCTGTGACTTCAATGCACACCTCACAAGGGTGTTCCTCAGAAAGCTTCTGTGTAGTTTTTATATGAAGATATCTCCTTCTCCAAAGCAGGTCTCAAAGCCCTCCAAATATTCACTTCAAGATTCTACGGAAAGATTGTCTCAACACTGCTAAATCTAAACAAATGTTCAACTCTGTGTGATGAATGCACTCATCACAGAGAAGTTTCTCTGAATGCCTCTGTGTAGTTTTTATTTGAAGATATTTGCTTTTCCAGTATAGGGCGAAATAGGGCTCCAAATATTCACTTGCAGATTCTACAAAAGGAGAGATTCCAAACTGCTCAATCAAAACATAGGTTCAACACTGTGAGTTGAATGCACACATCACAAAGAAGTTTCACAGAGTGCTTCTGGGTAGTTTTTATTTGAGGATATTTCCCTTTCCACAATAGGCCTCAAAGCTTTCCAAATATCCACTTGCAGATTCTGCAAAAAGAGAGATACAAAACTGCTCTATCAAAAGATAGATTCGACTCTGTGAGTTGAATGCCAACATCGCAAAGAAGTTTCTCAGAATGCTTCTCTGCAGCTTTTTTGTGAGTATGTTTCGTTTTCCACCATAGGGCGAAATGGGGCTCCAAATATCCACTTGCATTTCCTACAAAAAGAGAGATTCTAAGCTGCTCAATCAAAACATTGTTTCAACACGGTTAGTTGAATGCACACATCCCAAAGACGTTTTTCAGAGTGCTTCTGTGTGGTTTTTATGTGAAGATACTTCCTTTTCCACAATAGGCCTCAAATCTCTGTAAATATCCACTTGCAGACTCTACAAAGAGTGTTTCCAAACTGCTCAATCATAAGATAGGTTCAACTCCGATAGTTGAATGCACACATCACAAAGAAGTTTCTCAGAAAGCTTCTGTGTAGTTTTTGATGAAGATATCTTCTTCTCTAAAACAGAACTCCAAGCCCTCCAAATATTCACTTCAAGATTCTACGGAAAGATTGTCTCAAACTGCTAAATCAAAACAAAGGTTCAACTCTGTGTGATGAATGCATTCATCACAAAGACGTTTCTCTGAGTGCTTCTGTGCAGTTTTTATTTGAAGATAATTGCTTTTCCAGTATAGGGCGAAATAGGGCTCCAAATATTCACTTGCAGATTCTACAGAAAGAGAGATTCCAAACTGCTCAATCAAAACATAGGTTCAACACTGTGAGTTGAATGCATACATCGCAAAGAAGTTTCACAGAGTACTTCTGGGGTGGTTTTTATTTGAAGATATTTCCCTTTCCACAATAGGCCTCAAAGCTTTCCAAATGTCCACTTGCAGATTCCACCAAAAGAGTGTTTCGAAACTGCTCAATCAAAAGAAAGGTTCTACTCTGTGGGATGAATGCACACATCACAAAGTAGTTTCTCAGAATGCTTCTGTGTAGTTTTTATGTGAAGATATTTGTTTTTCCACAGTAGGCCCCAAAGAGCTCCAAATATTCACTTGCAGATTCTACAAAAAGAGTGTTCCAAAACTGCTCCATCATGAAATAGGATCAACCCTGTGAGATGAATGTACGTATGACAGAGAAGTTTCTCAGAATGCTTCTGTGTAGTTTTTATGCGAAGATATTCGACTTTCCACAGTACGCCTCAAAGTTCTCCAATTATCCACTCGTAGATCCTGCAAAAAGAGAGATTCAAAACTGCTCAATCAAAAGATAGTTTCTACTCCATTAGCTGAAAGACCACATCACAAAAAAAGTTTCTCAGGATGCTTCTGTGTAGTTTTTATGTGAAGATATTTGGTTTTCCACAGTAGGCCTCAAAGCGCTCCAAATATCCACTCACAGATTCTGCAAAAAGAGAGATTCAAAACTGCTGAATCAAAAGACAGTTTCAACTCTGTGACTTCAGTGCACACCTCACAAGGATGTTTCTCAGAATGCTTCTGTGTAGTTTTTATATAAAGATATCTCCTTCTCCAAAATGGATCTCAAAGTTCTCCAAATATTCACTTCCAGATTCTATGGAAAGATTGTCTCAAAACTGCTCAATCAAACCAAAGGTTCAACTCCGTGAGATGAATGCACACATCACAAAGAAGTTTCTCAGAGTACTTCTGTGTAGTTTCTATTTGAGGATAGTTCCTTTTCCACCACAGACCAGAAAGGGCTCCAAATATCCATTGCAGATGGTACAAAAAGTGAGATTCAAAACTGCTCAATCCAAAGGTAGTTTCAACCATGTGATATGAATGCACACAGCACAGAGAATTTTCTCAAAATGCGTCTGTCTAGTTTTTATTTGAAGATATTTTCTTTTCTACCATAGGCCACAAACGTCTCCAAATATCCACATGCAGCTTCTACAAAAAGAGAGATTCAAAACTTCTCAATCAAAAGATAGGTTCAACTCTGTGAGTTGAAAGCACACCTCACAAAGAAGTTTCTCAGAGTGCTTCTGTGTGTTTTTATGTGAAGATATTTCCTTTTCCACAATAGGCCTCAAAGCTCTCCAAATATCTGCGAGCAGAGTCTACAAAATGAGAGATTCAAAACTGCTCAATGAAAAGATAGGTTCAACTCTGTGAGTTGAATGCACACCTCCAAAGAAGTTTCTCAGAATGCTTCCCGTGTAGTTTTTATGTGAAGATATTTACTTTTCCACAGTTGTCCCAAAGCTCTAAAATGTCCACTTGCAGACCCTCCAAAAGAGTGTTTCAGAATTGCTCAATCAAAGGGAAGGTTCAATTCTGTGTGACCAATGCACTCATCACAAAGAAGTTTGTCTGAATGCTTCTGTGTAGAATTGATTTGAAGATAATTCCTTTTCCACCACAGTCCGCAAAGGGCTAAAAATATCCACTTGCCGATTCCACAAAAAGAGAGATTCAAAACTGCTCAATCACAAGATAGGTTCAACTTGGTAATTGGAAAGCACACATGACAAACAATTTCTGAGAATGTTTCTGTGTAGTTTTTAAGGGAAGATATTTGATTTTCAAATGTAGGCCTCAAATCGCTCCAAATATCCACTTGCATATTGTACAAAAAGAGAGATTCAAAACTGGTCACTCGAAAGTTAGGTCCAGCTCTGTGAGCTGAATGCACACATCACAAAGATGTTTCTCAGAAGGTTTCTGTATAGTTTTTATATGAAGATATTTGCTTTTCCACAATATGCCTCAAATCTCCCCAATTATCCACTTGCAGATTCTAGAAAAAGAGTGTTTCAAAACAGCTCAATCAAAATAAACTTTCAACTCTGTGAGATCAATGCACACATCACAAAGAAGTTTCCTCAGAATGCTTCTGTGTAGTTTTTTTTGTGAAGATATTTGATTTTCCACAGCAGGCTTCCAAGCACTCCAAATATCCACTCGCAGATTCTGCAAAAAGAGAGATTCAAATCTGCTGAATCAAAAGATAGGTTTAACTCTGTGACTTCAATGCACACCTCACAAGGGTGTTTCTCAGAAAGCTTCTGTGTAGTTTTTATATGAAGATATCTCCTTCTCCAAAGCAGGTCTCAAAGCCCTCCAAATATTCACTTCAAGATTCTACGGAAAGATTGTCTCAACACTGCTAAATCTAAACAAATGTTCAACTCTGTGTGATGAATGCACTCATCACAGAGAAGTTTCTCTGAATGCCTCTGTGTAGTTTTTATTTGAAGATATTTGCTTTTCCAGTATAGGGCGAAATAGGGCTCCAAATATTCACTTGCAGATTCTACAAAAGGAGAGATTCCAAACTGCTCAATCAAAACATAGGTTCAACACTGTGAGTTGAATGCACACATCACAAAGAAGTTTCACAGAGTGCTTCTGGGTAGTTTTTATTTGAGGATATTTCCCTTTCCACAATAGGCCTCAAAGCTTTCCAAATATCCACTTGCAGATTCTGCAAAAAGAGAGATACAAAACTGCTCTATCAAAAGATAGATTCGACTCTGTGAGTTGAATGCCAACATCGCAAAGAAGTTTCTCAGAATGCTTCTCTGCAGCTTTTTTGTGAGTATGTTTCGTTTTCCACCATAGGGCGAAATGGGGCTCCAAATATCCACTTGCATTTCCTACAAAAAGAGAGATTCTAAGCTGCTCAATCAAAACATTGTTTCAACACGGTTAGTTGAATGCACACATCCCAAAGATGTTTTTCAGAGTGCTTCTGTGTGGTTTTTATGTGAAGATACTTCCTTTTCCACAATAGGCCTCAAATCTCTGTAAATATCCACTTGCAGACTCTACAAAGAGTGTTTCCAAACTGCTCAATCATAAGATAGGTTCAACTCCGATAGTTGAATGCACACATCACAAAGAAGTTTCTCAGAAAGCTTCTGTGTAGTTTTTGATGAAGATATCTCCTTCTCTAAAACAGAACTCCAAGCCCTCCAAATATTCACTTCAAGATTCTACGGAAAGATTGTCTCAAAACTCCTAAATCAAAACAAAGTTTCAACTCTGTGTCATGAATGCATTCATCTCAAAGAAGTTTCTCTGAATGCTTCTGTGCAGTTTTTATTTGAAGATAATTGCTTTTCCAGTATAGGGCGAAATAGGGCTCCAAATATTCACTTGCAGATTCTACAGAAAGAGAGATTCCAAACTGCTCAATCAAAACATAGGTTCAACACTGTGAGTTGAATGCATACATCGCAAAGAAGTTTCACAGAGTACTTCTGGGTGGTTTTTATTTGAAGATATTTCCCTTTCCACAATAGGCCTCAAAGCTTTCCAAATGTCCACTTGCAGATTCCACCAAAAGAGTGTTTCGAAACTGCTCAATCAAAAGAAAGGTTCTACTCTGTGGGATGAATGCACACATCACAAAGTAGTTTCTCAGAATGCTTCTGTGTAGTTTTTATGTGAAGATATTTGTTTTTCCACAGTAGGCCCCAAAGAGCTCCAAATATTCACTTGCAGATTCTACAAAAAGAGTGTTCCAAAACTGCTCAATCATGAAATAGGATCAACCCTGTGAGATGAATGTACGTATGACAGAGAAGTTTCTCAGAATGCTTCTGTGTAGTTTTTATGCGAAGATATTCGACTTTCCACAGTACGCCTCAAAGTTCTCCAATTATCCACTCGTAGATTCTGCAAAAAGAGAGATTCAAAACTGCTCAATCAAAAGATAGTTTCTACTCCATTAGCTGAAAGACCACATCACAAAAAAAGTTTCTCAGGATGCTTCTGTGTAGTTTTTATGTGAAGATATTTGGTTTTCCACAGTAGGCCTCAAAGCGCTCCAAATATCCACTCACAGATTCTGCAAAAAGAGAGATTCAAAACTGCTGAATCAAAAGACAGTTTCAACACTGTGACTTCAGTGCACACCTCACAAGGATGTTTCTCAGAATGCTTCTGTGTAGTTTTCATATAAAGATATCTCCTTCTCCAAAATGGATCTCAAAGTTCTCCAAATATTCACTTCCAGATTCTATGGAAAGATTGTCTCAAAACTGCTCAATCAAACCAAAGGTTCAACTCTGTGAGATGAATGCCCACATCACAAAGAAGTTTCTCAGAGTACTTCTGTGTAGTTTCTATTTGAGGATAGTTCCTTTTCCACCACAGACCAGAAAGGGCTCCAAATATCCATTGCAGATGGTACAAAAAGTGAGATTCAAAACTGCTCAATCCAAAGGTAGTTTCAACCATGTGATATGAATGCACACAGCACAGAGAATTTTCTCAAAATGCGTCTGTCTAGTTTTTATTTGAAGATATTTCCTTTTCTACCATAGGCCACAAACGTCTCCAAATATCCACATGCAGCTTCTACAAAAAGAGAGATTCAAAACTTCTCAATCAAAAGATAGGTTCAACTCTGTGAGTTGAAAGCACACCTCACAAAGAAGTTTCTCAGAGTGCTTCTGTGTGTTTTTATGTGAAGATATTTCCTTTTCCACAATAGGCCTCAAAGCTCTCCAAATATCTGCGAGCAGAGTCTACAAAATGAGAGATTCAAAACTGCTCAATGAAAAGATAGGTTCAACTCTGTGAGTTGAATGCACACCTCCAAAGAAGTTTCTCAGAATGCTTCCCGTGTAGTTTTTATGTGAAGATATTTACTTTTCCACAGTTGTCCCAAAGCTCTAAAATGTCCACTTGCAGACCCTCCAAAAGAGTGTTTCAGAATTGCTCAATCAAAGGGAAGGTTCAATTCTGTGTGACCAATGCACTCATCACAAAGAAGTTTGTCTGAATGCTTCTGTGTAGAATTGATTTGAAGATAATTCCTTTTCCACCACAGTCCGCAAAGGGCTAAAAATATCCACTTGCCGATTCCACAAAAAGAGAGATTCAAAACTGCTCAATCACAAGATAGGTTCAACTTGGTAATTGGAAATCACACATGACAAACAATTTCTGAGAATGTTTCTGTGTAGTTTTTAAGGGAAGATATTTGATTTTCAAATGTAGGCCTCAAATCGCTCCAAATATCCACTTGCATATTGTACAAAAAGAGAGATTCAAAACTGGTCACTCAAAAGTTAGGTCCAGCTCTGTGAGCTGAATGCACACATCACAAAGATGTTTCTCAGAAGGTTTCTGTATAGTTTCTATATGAAGATATTTGCTTTTCCACAATATGCCTCAAATCTCCCCAATTATCCACTTGCAGATTCTAGAAAAAGAGTGTTTCAAAACAGCTCAATCCAAATAAACTTTCAACTCTGTGAGATCAATGCACACATCACAAAGAAGTTTCTCAGAATGCTTCTGTGTAGTTTTTTTTGTGAAGATATTTGATTTTCCACAGCAGGCTTCCAAGCACTCCAAATATCCACTCGCAGATTCTGCAAAAAGAGAGATTCAAATCTGCTGAATCAAAAGATAGGTTTAACTCTGTGACTTCAATGCACACCTCACAAGGGTGTTTCTCAGAAAGCTTCTGTGTAGTTTTTATATGAAGATATCTCCTTCTCCAAAGCAGGTCTCAAAGCCCTCCAAATATTCACTTCAAGATTCTACGGAAAGATTGTCTCAACACTGCTAAATCTAAACAAATGTTCAACTCTGTGTGATGAATGCACTCATCACAGAGAAGTTTCTCTGAATGCCTCTGTGTAGTTTTTATTTGAAGATATTTGCTTTTCCAGTATAGGGCGAAATAGGGCTCCAAATATTCACTTGCAGATTCTACAAAAGGAGAGATTCCAAACTGCTCAATCAAAACATAGGTTCAACACTGTGCGTTGAATGCACACATCACAAAGAAGTTTCACAGAGTGCTTCTGGGTAGTTTTTATTTGAGGATATTTCCCTTTCCACAATAGGCCTCAAAGCTTTCCAAATATCCACTTGCAGATTCTGCAAAAAGAGAGATACAAAACTGCTCTATCAAAAGATAGATTCGACTCTGTGAGTTGAATGCCAACATCGCAAAGAAGTTTCTCAGAATGCTTCTCTGCAGCTTTTTTGTGAGTATGTTTCGTTTTCCACCATAGGGCGAAATGGGGCTCCAAATATCCACTTGCATTTCCTACAAAAAGAGAGATTCTAAGCTGCTCAATCAAAACATTGTTTCAACACGGTTAGTTGAATGCACACATCCCAAAGATGTTTTTCAGAGTGCTTTCTGTGTGGTTTTTATGTGAAGATACTTCCTTTTCCACAATAGGCCTCAAATCTCTGTAAATATCCACTTGCAGACTCTACAAAGAGTGTTTCCAAACTGCTCAATCATAAGATAGGTTCAACTCCGATAGTTGAATGCACACATCACAAAGAAGTTTCTCAGAAAGCTTCTGTGTAGTTTTTGATGAAGATATCTTCTTCTCTAAAACAGAACTCCAAGCCCTCCAAATATTCACTTCAAGATTCTACGGAAAGATTGTCTCAAAACTCCTAAATCAAAACAAAGTTTCAACTCTCTGTCATGAATGCATTCATCTCAAAGAAGTTTCTCTGAGTGCTTCTGTGCAGTTTTTATTTGAAGATAATTGCTTTTCCAGTATAGGGCGAAATAGGGCTCCAAATATTCACTTGCAGATTCTACAGAAAGAGAGATTCCAAACTGCTCAATCAAAACATAGGTTCAACACTGTGAGTTGAATGCATACATCGCAAAGAAGTTTCACAGAGTACTTCTGGGTGGTTTTTATTTGAAGATATTTCCCTTTCCACAATAGGCCTCAAAGCTTTCCAAATGTCCACTTGCAGATTCCACCAAAAGCGTGTTTCGAAACTGCTCAATCAAAAGAAAGGTTCTACTCTGTGGGATGAATGCACACATCACAAAGTAGTTTCTCAGAATGCTTCTGTGTAGTTTTTATGTGAAGATATTTGTTTTTCCACAGTAGGCCCCAAAGAGCTCCAAATATTCACTTGCAGATTCTACAAAAAGAGTGTTCCAAAACTGCTCAATCATGAAATAGGATCAACCCTGTGAGATGAATGTACGTATGACAGAGAAGTTTCTCAGAATGCTTCTGTGTAGTTTTTATGCGAAGATATTCGATTTTCCACAGTACGCCTCAAAGTTCTCCAATTATCCACTCGTAGATTCTGCAAAAAGAGAGATTCAAAACTGCTCAATCAAAAGATAGTTTCTACTCCATTAGCTGAAAGACCACATCACAAAAAAAGTTTCTCAGGATGCTTCTGTGTAGTTTTTATGTGAAGATATTTGGTTTTCCACAGTAGGCCTCAAAGCGCTCCAAATATCCACTCACAGATTCTGCAAAAAGAGAGATTCAAAACTGCTGAATCAAAAGACAGTTTCAACTCTGTGACTTCAGTGCACACCTCACAAGGATGTTTCTCAGAATGCTTCTGTGTAGTTTTTATATAAAGATATCTCTTCTCCAAAATGGATCTCAAAGTTCTCCAAATATTCACTTCCAGATTCTATGGAAAGATTGTCTCAAAACTGCTCAATCAAACCAAAGGTTCAACTCTGTGAGATGAATGCCCACATCACAAAGAAGTTTCTCAGAGTACTTCTGTGTAGTTTCTATTTGAGGATAGTTCCTTTTCCACCACAGACCAGAAAGGGCTCCAAATATCCATTGCAGATGGTACAAAAAGTGAGATTCAAAACTGCTCAATCCAAAGGTAGTTTCAACCATGTGATATGAATGCACACAGCACAGAGAATTTTCTCAAAATGCGTCTGTCTAGTTTTTATTTGAAGATATTTCCTTTTCTACCATAGGCCACAAACGTCTCCAAATATCCACATGCAGCTTCTACAAAAAGAGAGATTCAAAACTTCTCAATCAAAAGATAGGTTCAACTCTGTGAGTTGAAAGCACACCTCACAAAGAAGTTTCTCAGAGTGCTTCTGTTTGTTTTTATGTGAAGATATTTCCTTTTCCACAATAGGCCTCAAAGCTCTCCAAATATCTGCGAGCAGAGTCTACAAAATGAGAGATTCAAAACTGCTCAATGAAAAGATAGGTTCAACTCTGTGAGTTGAATGCACACCTCCAAAGAAGTTTCTCAGAATACTTCCGTGTAGTTTTTATGTGAGGATATTTACTTTTCCACAGTTGTCCCAAAGCTCTAAAATATCCACTTGCAGACCCTCCAAAAGAGTGTTTCAGAATTGCTCAATCAAAGGGAAGGTTCAATTCTGTGTGACCAATGCACTCATCACAAAGAAGTTTGTCTGAATGCTTCTGTGTAGAATTGATTTGAAGATAATTCCTTTTCCACCACAGTCCGCAAAGGGCTAAAAATATCCACTTGCCGATTCCACAAAAAGAGAGATTCAAAACTGCTCAATCACAAGATAGGTTCAACTTGGTAATTGGAAAGCACACATGACAAACAATTTCTGAGAATGTTTCTGTGTAGTTTTTAAGGGAAGATATTTGATTTTCAAATGTAGGCCTCAAATCGCTCCAAATATCCACTTGCATATTGTACAAAAAGAGAGATTCAAAACTGGTCACTCAAAAGTTAGGTCCAGCTCTGTGAGCTGAATGCACACATCACAAAGATGTTTCTCAGAAGGTTTCTGTATAGTTTTTATATGAAGATATTTGCTTTTCCACAATATGCCTCAAATCTCCCCAATTATCCACTTGCAGATTCTAGAAAAAGAGTGTTTCAAAACAGCTCAATCAAAATAAACTTTCAACTCTGTGAGATCAATGCACACATCACAAAGAAGTTTCTCAGAATGCTTCTGTGTAGTTTTTTTTGTGAAGATATTTGATTTTCCACAGCAGGCTTCCAAGCACTCCAAATATCCACTCGCAGATTCTGCAAAAAGAGAGATTCAAATCTGCTGAATCAAAAGATAGGTTTAACTCTGTGACTTCAATGCACACCTCACAAGGGTGTTTCTCAGAAAGCTTCTGTGTAGTTTTTATATGAAGATATCTCCTTCTCCAAAGCAGGTCTCAAAGCCCTCCAAATATTCACTTCAAGATTCTACGGAAAGATTGTCTCAACACTGCTAAATCTAAACAAATGTTCAACTCTGTGTGATGAATGCACTCATCACAGAGAAGTTTCTCTGAATGCCTCTGTGTAGTTTTTATTTGAAGATATTTGCTTTTCCAGTATAGGGCGAAATAGGGCTCCAAATATTCACTTGCAGATTCTACAAAAGGAGAGATTCCAAACTGCTCAATCAAAACATAGGTTCAACACTGTGAGTTGAATGCACACATCACAAAGAAGTTTCACAGAGTGCTTCTGGGTAGTTTTTATTTGAGGATATTTCCCTTTCCACAATAGGCCTCAAAGCTTTCCAAATATCCACTTGCAGATTCTGCAAAAAGAGAGATACAAAACTGCTCTATCAAAAGATAGATTCGACTCTGTGAGTTGAATGCCAACATCGCAAAGAAGTTTCTCAGAATGCTTCTCTGCAGCTTTTTTGTGAGTATGTTTCGTTTTCCACCATAGGGCGAAATGGGGCTCCAAATATCCACTTGCATTTCCTACAAAAAGAGAGATTCTAAGCTGCTCAATCAAAACATTGTTTCAACACGGTTAGTTGAATGCACACATCCCAAAGATGTTTTTCAGAGTGCTTCTGTGTGGTTTTTATGTGAAGATACTTCCTTTTCCACAATAGGCCTCAAATCTCTGTAAATATCCACTTGCAGACTCCACAAAGAGTGTTTCCAAACTGCTCAATCATAAGATAGGTTCAACTCCGATAGTTGAATGCACACATCACAAAGAAGTTTCTCAGAAAGCTTCTGTGTAGTTTTTGATGAAGATATCTCCTTCTCTAAAACAGAACTCCAAGCCCTCCAAATATTCACTTCAAGATTCTACGGAAAGATTGTCTCAAAACTCCTAAATCAAAACAAAGTTTCAACTCTGTGTCATGAATGCATTCATGTCAAAGAAGTTTCTCTGAATGCTTCTGTGCAGTTTTTATTTGAAGATAATTGCTTTTCCAGTATAGGGCGAAATAGGGCTCCAAATATTCACTTGCAGATTCTACAGAAAGAGAGATTCCAAACTGCTCAATCAAAACATAGGTTCAACACTGTGAGTTGAATGCATACATCGCAAAGAAGTTTCACAGAGTACTTCTGGGTGGTTTTTATTTGAAGATATTTCCCTTTCCACAATAGGCCTCAAAGCTTTCCAAATGTCCACTTGCAGATTCCACCAAAAGAGTGTTTCGAAACTGCTCAATCAAAAGAAAGGTTCTACTCTGTGGGATGAATGCACACATCACAAAGTAGTTTCCCAGAATGCTTCTGTGTAGTTTTTATGTGAAGATATTTGTTTTTCCACAGTAGGCCCCAAAGAGCTCCAAATATTCACTTGCAGATTCTACAAAAAGAGTGTTCCAAAACTGCTCAATCATGAAATAGGATCAACATCTGTGAGATGAATGTACGTATGACAGAGAAGTTTCTCAGAATGCTTCTGTGTAGTTTTTATGCGAAGATATTCGATTTTCCACAGTACGCCTCAAAGTTCTCCAATTATCCACTCGTAGATCCTGCAAAAAGAGAGATTCAAAACTGCTCAATCAAAAGATAGTTTCTACTCCATTAGCTGAAAGACCACATCACAAAAAAAGTTTCTCAGGATGCTTCTGTGTAGTTTTTATGTGAAGATATTTGGTTTTCCACAGTAGGCCTCAAAGCGCTCCAAATATCCACTCACAGATTCTGCAAAAAGAGAGATTCAAAACTGCTGAATCAAAAGACAGTTTCAACTCTGTGACTTCAGTGCACACCTCACAAGGATGTTTCTCAGAATGCTTCTGTGTAGTTTTTATATAAAGATATCTCCTTCTCCAAAATGGATCTCAAAGTTCTCCAAATATTCACTTCCAGATTCTATGGAAAGATTGTCTCAAAACTGCTCAATCAAACCAAAGGTTCAACTCTGTGAGATGAATGCCCACATCACAAAGAAGTTTCTCAGAGTACTTCTGTGTAGTTTCTATTTGAGGATAGTTCCTTTTCCACCACAGACCAGAAAGGGCTCCAAATATCCATTGCAGATGGTACAAAAAGTGAGATTCAAAACTGCTCAATCCAAAGGTAGTTTCAACCATGTGATATGAATGCACACAGCACAGAGAATTTTCTCAAAATGCGTCTGTCTAGTTTTTATTTGAAGATATTTCCTTTTCTACCATAGGCCACAAACGTCTCCAAATATCCACATGCAGCTTCTACAAAAAGAGAGATTCAAAACTTCTCAATCAAAAGATAGGTTCAACTCTGTGAGTTGAAAGCACACCTCACAAAGAAGTTTCTCAGAGTGCTTCTGTGTGTTTTTATGTGAAGATATTTCCTTTTCCACAATAGGCCTCAAAGCTCTCCAAATATCTGCGAGCAGAGTCTACAAAATGAGAGATTCAAAACTGCTCAATGAAAAGATAGGTTCAACTCTGTGAGTTGAATGCACACCTCCAAAGAAGTTTCTCAGAATGCTTCCGTGTAGTTTTTATGTGAAGATATTTACTTTTCCACAGTTGTCCCAAAGCTCTAAAATATCCACTTGCAGACCCTCCAAAAGAGTGTTTCAGAATTGCTCAATCAAAGGGAAGGTTCAATTCTGTGTGACCAATGCACTCATCACAAAGAAGTTTGTCTGAATGCTTCTGTGTAGTAATTGATTTGAAGATAATTCCTTTTCCACCACAGTCCGCAAAGGGCTAAAAATATCCACTTGCCGATTCCACAAAAAGAGAGATTCAAAACTGCTCAATCACAAGATAGGTTCAACTTGGTAATTGGAAAGCACACATGACAAACAATTTCTGAGAATGTTTCTGTGTAGTTTTTAAGGGAAGATATTTGATTTTCAAATGTAGGCCTCAAATCGCTCCAAATATCCACTTGCATATTGTACAAAAAGAGAGATTCAAAACTGGTCACTCAAAAGTTAGGTCCAGCTCTGTGAGCTGAATGCACACATCACAAAGATGTTTCTCAGAAGGTTTCTGTATAGTTTCTATATGAAGATATTTGCTTTTCCACAATATGCCTCAAATCTCCCCCAATTATCCACTTGCAGATTCTAGAAAAAGAGTGTTTCAAAACAGCTCAATCAAAATAAACTTTCAACTCTGTGAGATCAATGCACACATCACAAAGAAGTTTCTCAGAATGCTTCTGTGTAGTTTTTTTTGTGAAGATATTTGATTTTCCACAGCAGGCTTCCAAGCACTCCAAATATCCACTCGCAGATTCTGCAAAAAGAGAGATTCAAATCTGCTGAATCAAAAGATAGGTTTAACTCTGTGACTTCAATGCACACCTCACAAGGGTGTTTCTCAGAAAGCTTCTGTGTAGTTTTTATATGAAGATATCTCCTTCTCCAAAGCAGGTCTCAAAGCCCTCCAAATATTCACTTCAAGATTCTACGGAAAGATTGTCTCAACACTGCTAAATCTAAACAAATGTTCAACTCTGTGTGATGAATGCACTCATCTCAGAGAAGTTTCTCTGAATGCCTCTGTGTAGTTTTTATTTGAAGATATTTGCTTTTCCAGTATAGGGCGAAATAGGGCTCCAAATATTCACTTGCAGATTCTACAAAAGGAGAGATTCCAAACTGCTCAATCAAAACATAGGTTCAACACTGTGAGTTGAATGCACACATCACAAAGAAGTTTCACAGAGTGCTTCTGGGTAGTTTTTATTTGAGGATATTTCCCTTTCCACAATAGGCCTCAAAGCTTTCCAAATATCCACTTGCAGATTCTGCAAAAAGAGAGATACAAAACTGCTCTATCAAAAGATAGATTCGACTACTGTGAGTTGAATGCCAACATCGCAAAGAAGTTTCTCAGAATGCTTCTCTGCAGCTTTTTTGTGAGTATGTTTCGTTTTCCACCATAGGGCGAAATGGGGCTCCAAATATCCACTTGCATTTCCTACAAAAAGAGAGATTCTAAGCTGCTCAATCAAAACATTGTTTCAACACGGTTAGTTGAATGCACACATCCCAAAGATGTTTTTCAGAGTGCTTCTGTGTGGTTTTTATGTGAAGATACTTCCTTTTCCACAATAGGCCTCAAATCTCTGTAAATATCCACTTGCAGACTCTACAAAGAGTGTTTCCAAACTCCTCAATCATAAGATAGGTTCAACTCCGATAGTTGAATGCACACATCACAAAGAAGTTTCTCGGAAAGCTTCTGTGTAGTTTTTGATGAAGATATCTCCTTCTCTAAAACAGAACTCCAAGCCCTCCAAATATTCACTTCAAGATTCTACGGAAAGATTGTCTCAAACTGCTAAATCAAAACAAAGGTTCAACTCTGTGTGATGAATGCATTCATCACAAAGAAGTTTCTCTGAGTGCTTCTGTGCAGTTTTTATTTGAAGATAATTGCTTTTCCAGTATAGGGCGAAATAGGGCTCCAAATATTCACTTGCAGATTCTACAGAAAGAGAGATTCCAAACTGCTCAATCAAAACATAGGTTCAACACTGTGAGTTGAATGCATACATCGCAAAGAAGTTTCACAGAGTACTTCTGGGGTGGTTTTTATTTGAAGATATTTCCCTTTCCACAATAGGCCTCAAAGCTTTCCAAATGTCCACTTGCAGATTCCACCAAAAGAGTGTTTCGAAACTGCTCAATCAAAAGAAAGGTTCTACTCTGTGGGATGAATGCACACATCACAAAGTAGTTTCTCAGAATGCTTCTGTGTAGTTTTTATGTGAAGATATTTGTTTTTCCACAGTAGGCCCCAAAGAGCTCCAAATATTCACTTGCAGATTCTACAAAAAGAGTGTTCCAAAACTGCTCCATCATGAAATAGGATCAACCCTGTGAGATGAATGTACGTATGACAGAGAAGTTTCTCAGAATGCTTCTGTGTAGTTTTTATGCGAAGATATTCGACTTTCCACAGTACGCCTCAAAGTTCTCCAATTATCCACTCGTAGATCCTGCAAAAAGAGAGATTCAAAACTGCTCAATCAAAAGATAGTTTCTACTCCATTAGCTGAAAGACCACATCACAAAAAAAGTTTCTCAGGATGCTTCTGTGTAGTTTTTATGTGAAGATATTTGGTTTTCCACAGTAGGCCTCAAAGCGCTCCAAATATCCACTCACAGATTCTGCAAAAAGAGAGATTCAAAACTGCTGAATCAAAAGACAGTTTCAACTCTGTGACTTCAGTGCACACCTCACAAGGATGTTTCTCAGAATGCTTCTGTGTAGTTTTCATATAAAGATATCTCCTTCTCCAAAATGGATCTCAAAGTTCTCCAAATATTCACTTCCAGATTCTATGGAAAGATTGTCTCAAAACTGCTCAATCAAACCAAAGGTTCAACTCTGTGAGATGAATGCCCACATCACAAAGAAGTTTCTCAGAGTACTTCTGTGTAGTTTCTATTTGAGGATAGTTCCTTTTCCACCACAGACCAGAAAGGGCTCCAAATATCCATTGCAGATGGTACAAAAAGTGAGATTCAAAACTGCTCAATCCAAAGGTAGTTTCAACCATGTGATATGAATGCACACAGCACAGAGAATTTTCTCAAAATGCGTCTGTCTAGTTTTTATTTGAAGATATTTCCTTTTCTACCATAGGCCACAAACGTCTCCAAATATCCACATGCAGCTTCTACAAAAAGAGAGATTCAAAACTTCTCAATCAAAAGATAGGTTCAACTCTGTGAGTTGAAAGCACACCTCACAAAGAAGTTTCTCAGAGTGCTTCTGTGTGTTTTTATGTGAAGATATTTCCTTTTCCACAATAGGCCTCAAAGCTCTCCAAATATCTGCGAGCAGAGTCTACAAAATGAGAGATTCAAAACTGCTCAATGAAAAGATAGGTTCAACTCTGTGAGTTGAATGCACACCTCCAAAGAAGTTTCTCAGAATGCTTCCGTGTAGTTTTTATGTGAAGATATTTACTTTTCCACAGTTGTCCCAAAGCTCTAAAATATCCACTTGCAGACCCTCCAAAAGAGTGTTTCAGAATTGCTCAATCAAAGGGAAGGTTCAATTCCTGTGTGACCAATGCACTCATCACAAAGAAGTTTGTCTGAATGCTTTCTGTGTAGAATTGATTTGAAGATAATTCCTTTTCCACCACAGTCCACAAAGGGCTAAAAATATCCACTTGCCGATTCCACAAAAAGAGAGATTCAAAACTGCTCAATCACAAGATAGGTTCAACTTGGTAATTGGAAAGCACACATGACAAACAATTTCTGAGAATGTTTCTGTGTAGTTTTTAAGGGAAGATATTTGATTTTCAAATGTAGGCCTCAAATCGCTCCAAATATCCACTTGCATATTGTACAAAAAGAGAGATTCAAAACTGGTCACTCAAAAGTTAGGTCCAGCTCTGTGAGCTGAATGCACACATCACAAAGATGTTTCTCAGAAGGTTTCTGTATAGTTTCTATATGAAGATATTTGCTTTTCCACAATATGCCTCAAATCTCCCAATTATCCACTTGCAGATTCTAGAAAAAGAGTGTTTCAAAACAGCTCAATCCAAATAAACTTTCAACCCTGTGAGATCAATGCACACATCACAAAGAAGTTTCTCAGAATGCTTCTGTGTAGTTTTTTTTGTGAAGATATTTGATTTTCCACAGCAGGCTTCCAAGCACTCCAAATATCCACTCGCAGATTCTGCAAAAAGAGAGATTCAAATCTGCTGAATCAAAAGATAGGTTTAACTCTGTGACTTCAATGCACACCTCACAAGGGTGTTTCTCAGAAAGCTTCTGTGTAGTTTTTATATGAAGATATCTCCTTCTCCAAAGCAGGTCTCAAAGCCCTCCAAATATTCACTTCAAGATTCTACGGAAAGATTGTCTCAACACTGCTAAATCTAAACAAATGTTCAACTCTGTGTGATGAATGCACTCATCACAGAGAAGTTTCTCTGAAGGCCTCTGTGTAGTTTTTATTTGAAGATATTTGCTTTTCCAGTATAGGGCGAAATAGGGCTCCAAATATTCACTTGCAGATTCTACAAAAGGAGAGATTCCAAACTGCTCAATCAAAACATAGGTTCAACACTGTGAGTTGAATGCACACATCACAAAGAAGTTTCACAGAGTGCTTCTGGGTAGTTTTTATTTGAGGATATTTCCCTTTCCACAATAGGCCTCAAAGCTTTCCAAATATCCACTTGCAGATTCTGCAAAAAGAGAGATACAAAACTGCTCTATCAAAAGATAGATTCGACGCTGTGAGTTGAATGCCAACATCGCAAAGAAGTTTCTCAGAATGCTTCTCTGCAGCTTTTTTGTGAGTATGTTTCGTTTTCCACCATAGGGCGAAATGGGGCTCCAAATATCCACTTGCATTTCCTACAAAAAGAGAGATTCTAAGCTGCTCAATCAAAACATTGTTTCAACACGGTTAGTTGAATGCACACATCCCAAAGATGTTTTTCAGAGTGCTTCTGTGTGGTTTTTATGTGAAGATACTTCCTTTTCCACAATAGGCCTCAAATCTCTGTAAATATCCACTTGCAGACTCTACAAAGAGTGTTTCCAAACTGCTCAATCATAAGATAGGTTCAACTCCGATAGCTGAATGCACACATCACAAAGAAGTTTCTCAGAAAGCTTCTGTGTAGTTTTTGATGAAGATATCTCCTTCTCTAAAACAGAACTCCAAGCCCTCCAAATATTCACTTCAAGATTCTACGGAAAGATTGTCTCAAACTGCTAAATCAAAACAAAGGTTCAACTCTGTGTGATGAATGCATTCATCACAAAGAAGTTTCTCTGAGTGCTTCTGTGCAGTTTTTATTTGAAGATAATTGCTTTTCCAGTATAGGGCGAAATAGGGCTCCAAATATTCACTTGCAGATTCTACAGAAAGAGAGATTCCAAACTGCTCAATCAAAACATAGGTTCAACACTGTGAGTTGAATGCATACATCGCAAAGAAGTTTCACAGAGTACTTCTGGGTGGTTTTTATTTGAAGATATTTCCCTTTCCACAATAGGCCTCAAAGCTTTCCAAATGTCCACTTGCAGATTCCACCAAAAGAGTGTTTCGAAACTGCTCAATCAAAAGAAAGGTTCTACTCTGTGGGATGAATGCACACATCACAAAGTAGTTTCTCAGAATGCTTCTGTGTAGTTTTTATGTGAAGATATTTGTTTTTCCACAGTAGGCCCCAAGGAGCTCCAAATATTCACTTGCAGATTCTACAAAAAGAGTGTTCCGAAACTGCTCAATCATGAAATAGGATCAACCCTGTGAGATGAATGTACGTATGACAGAGAAGTTTCTCAGAATGCTTCTGTGTAGTTTTTATGCGAAGATATTCGACTTTCCACAGTACGCCTCAAAGTTCTCCAATTATCCACTCGTAGATTCTGCAAAAAGAGAGATTCAAAACTGCTCAATCAAAAGATAGTTTCTACTCCATTAGCTGAAAGACCACATCACAAAAAAAGTTTCTCAGGATGCTTCTGTGTAGTTTTTATGTGAAGATATTTGGTTTTCCACAGTAGGCCTCAAAGCGCTCCAAATATCCACTCACAGATTCTGCAAAAAGAGAGATTCCAAACTGCTGAATCAAAAGACAGTTTCAACTCTGTGACTTCAGTGCACACCTCACAAGGATGTTTCTCAGAATGCTTCTGTGTAGTTTTTATTTAAAGATATCTCCTTCTCCAAAATGGATCTCAAAGTTCTCCAAATATTCACTTCCAGATTCTATGGAAAGATTGTCTCAAAACTGCTCAATCAAACCAAAGGTTCAACTCTGTGAGATGAATGCCCACATCACAAAGAAGTTTCTCAGAGTACTTCTGTGTAGTTTCTATTTGAGGATAGTTCCTTTTCCACCACAGACCAGAAAGGGCTCCAAATATCCATTGCAGATGGTACAAAAAGTGAGATTCAAAACTGCTCAATCCAAAGGTAGTTTCAACCATGTGATATGAATGCACACAGCACAGAGAATTTTCTCAAAATGCGTCTGTCTAGTTTTTATTTGAAGATATTTCCTTTTCTACCATAGGCCACAAACGTCTCCAAATATCCACATGCAGCTTCCACAAAAAGAGAGATTCAAAACTTCTCAATCAAAAGATAGGTTCAACTCTGTGAGTTGAAAGCACACCTCACAAAGAAGTTTCTCAGAGTGCTTCTGTGTGTTTTTATGTGAGGATATTTCCTTTTCCACAATAGGCCTCAAAGCTCTCCAAATATCTGCGAGCAGAGTCTACAAAATGAGAGATTCAAAACTGCTCAATGAAAAGATAGGTTCAACTCTGTGAGTTGAATGCACACCTCCAAAGAAGTTTCTCAGAATGCTTCCGTGTAGTTTTTATGTGAAGATATTTACTTTTCCACAGTTGTCCCAAAGCTCTAAAATGTCCACTTGCAGACCCTCCAAAAGAGTGTTTCAGAATTGCTCAATCAAAGGGAAGGTTCAATTCTGTGTGACCAATGCACTCATCACAAAGAAGTTTGTCTGAATGCTTCCTGTGTAGAATTGATTTGAAGATAATTCCTTTTCCACCACAGTCCGCAAAGGGCTAAAAATATCCACTTGCCGATTCCACAAAAAGAGAGATTCAAAACTGCTCAATCACAAGATAGGTTCAACTTGGTAATTGGAAAGCACACATGACAAACAATTTCTGAGAATGTTTCTGTGTAGTTTTTAAGGGAAGATATTTGATTTTCAAATGTAGGCCTCAAATCGCTCCAAATATCCACTTGCATATTGTACAAAAAGAGAGATTCAAAACTGGTCACTCAAAAGTTAGGTCCAGCTCTGTGAGCTGAATGCACACATCACAAAGATGTTTCTCAGAAGGTTTCTGTATAGTTTTTATATGAAGATATTTGCTTTTCCACAATATGCCTCAAATCTCCCCAATTATGCACTTGCAGATTCTAGAAAAAGAGTGTTTCAAAACAGCTCAATCAAAATAAACTTTCAACTCTGTGAGATCAATGCACACATCACAAAGAAGTTTCTCAGAATGCTTCTGTGTAGTTTTTTTTGTGAAGATATTTGATTTTCCACAGCAGGCTTCCAAGCACTCCAAATATCCACTCGCAGATTCTGCAAAAAGAGAGATTCAAATCTGCTGAATCAAAAGATAGGTTTAACTCTGTGACTTCAATGCACACCTCACAAGGGTGTTTCTCAGAAAGCTTCTGTGTAGTTTTTATATGAAGATATCTCCTTCTCCAAAGCAGGTCTCAAAGCCCTCCAAATATTCACTTCAAGATTCTACGGAAAGATTGTCTCAACACTGCTAAATCTAAACAAATGTTCAACTCTGTGTGATGAATGCACTCATCACAGAGAAGTTTCTCTGAATGCCTCTGTGTAGTTTTTATTTGAAGATATTTGCTTTTCCAGTATAGGGCGAAATAGGGCTCCAAATATTCACTTGCAGATTCTACAAAAGGAGAGATTCCAAACTGCTCAATCAAAACATAGGTTCAACACTGTGAGTTGAATGCACACATCACAAAGAAGTTTCACAGAGTGCTTCTGGGTAGTTTTTATTTGAGGATATTTCCCTTTCCACAATAGGCCTCAAAGCTTTCCAAATATCCACTTGCAGATTCTGCAAAAAGAGAGATACAAAACTGCTCTATCAAAAGATAGATTCGACTCTGTGAGTTGAATGCCAACATCGCAAAGAAGTTTCTCAGAATGCTTCTCTGCAGCTTTTTTGTGAGTATGTTTCGTTTTCCACCATAGGGCGAAATGGGGCTCCAAATATCCACTTGCATTTCCTACAAAAGGAGAGATTCTAAGCTGCTCAATCAAAACATTGTTTCAACACGGTTAGTTGAATGCACACATCCCAAAGATGTTTCTCAGAGTGCTTCTGTGTGGTTTTTATGTGAAGATACTTCCTTTTCCACAATAGGCCTCAAATCTCTGTAAATATCCACTTGCAGACTCTACAAAGAGTGTTTCCAAACTCCTCAATCATAAGATAGGTTCAACTCCGATAGTTGAATGCACACATCACAAAGAAGTTTCTCGGAAAGCTTCTGTGAGTTTTTGATGAAGATATCTCCTTCTCTAAAACAGAACTCCAAGCCCTCCAAATATTCACTTCAAGATTCTACGGAAAGATTGTCTCAAAACTCCTAAATCAAAACAAAGTTTCAACTCTGTGTCATGAATGCATTCATCTCAAAGAAGTTTCTCTGAATGCTTCTGTGCAGTTTTTATTTGAAGATAATTGCTTTTCCAGTATAGGGCGAAATAGGGCTCCAAATATTCACTTGCAGATTCTACAGAAAGAGAGATTCCAAACTGCTCAATCAAAACATAGGTTCAACACTGTGAGTTGAATGCATACATCGCAAAGAAGTTTCACAGAGTACTTCTGGGTGGTTTTTATTTGAAGATATTTCCCTTTCCACAATAGGCCTCAAAGCTTTCCAAATGTCCACTTGCAGATTCCACCAAAAGAGTGTTTCGAAACTGCTCAATCAAAAGAAAGGTTCTACTCTGTGGGATGAATGCACACATCACAAAGTAGTTTCTCAGAATGCTTCTGTGTAGTTTTTATGTGAAGATATTTGTTTTTCCACAGTAGGCCCCAAGGAGCTCCAAATATTCACTTGCAGATTCTACAAAAAGAGTGTTCCGAAACTGCTCAATCATGAAATAGGATCAACCCTGTGAGATGAATGTACGTATGACAGAGAAGTTTCTCAGAATGCTTCTGTGTAGTTTTTATGCGAAGATATTCGACTTTCCACAGTACGCCTCAAAGTTCTCCAATTATCCACTCGTAGATTCTGCAAAAAGAGAGATTCAAAACTGCTCAATCAAAAGATAGTTTCTACTCCATTAGCTGAAAGACCACATCACAAAAAAAGTTTCTCAGGATGCTTCTGTGTAGTTTTTATGTGAAGATATTTGGTTTTCCACAGTAGGCCTCAAAGCGCTCCAAATATCCACTCACAGATTCTGCAAAAAGAGAGATTCAAAACTGCTGAATCAAAAGACAGTTTCAACTCTGTGACTTCAGTGCACACCTCACAAGGATGTTTCTCAGAATGCTTCTGTGTAGTTTTTATATAAAGATATCTCCTTCTCCAAAATGGATCTCAAAGTTCTCCAAATATTCACTTCCAGATTCTATGGAAAGATTGTCTCAAAACTGCTCAATCAAACCAAAGGTTCAACTCTGTGAGATGAATGCACACATCACAAAGAAGTTTCTCAGAGTACTTCTGTGTAGTTTCTATTTGAGGATAGTTCCTTTTCCACCACAGACCAGAAAGGGCTCCAAATATCCATTGCAGATGGTACAAAAAGTGAGATTCAAAACTGCTCAATCCAAAGGTAGTTTCAACCATGTGATATGAATGCACACAGCACAGAGAATTTTCTCAAAATGCGTCTGTCTAGTTTTTATTTGAAGATATTTCCTTTTCTACCATAGGCCACAAACGTCTCCAAATATCCACATGCAGCTTCTACAAAAAGAGAGATTCAAAACTTCTCAATCAAAAGATAGGTTCAACTCTGTGAGTTGAAAGCACACCTCACAAAGAAGTTTCTCAGAGTGCTTCTGTGTGTTTTTATGTGAAGATATTTCCTTTTCCACAATAGGCCTCAAAGCTCTCCAAATATCTGCGAGCAGAGTCTACAAAATGAGAGATTCAAAACTGCTCAATGAAAAGATAGGTTCAACTCTGTGAGTTGAATGCACACCTCCAAAGAAGTTTCTCAGAATGCTTCCGTGTAGTTTTTATGTGAAGATATTTACTTTTCCACAGTTGTCCCAAAGCTCTAAAATGTCCACTTGCAGACCCTCCAAAAGAGTGTTTCAGAATTGCTCAATCAAAGGGAAGGTTCAATTCTGTGTGACCAATGCACTCATCACAAAGAAGTTTGTCTGAATGCTTCTGTGTAGAATTGATTTGAAGATAATTCCTTTTCCACCACAGTCCGCAAAGGGCTAAAAATATCCACTTGCCGATTCCACAAAAAGAGAGATTCAAAACTGCTCAATCACAAGATAGGTTCAACTTGGTAATTGGAAAGCACACATGACAAACAATTTCTGAGAATGTTTCTGTGTAGTTTTTAAGGGAAGATATTTGATTTTCAAATGTAGGCCTCAAATCGCTCCAAATATCCACTTGCATATTGTACAAAAAGAGAGATTCAAAACTGGTCACTCAAAAGTTAGGTCCAGCTCTGTGAGCTGAATGCACACATCACAAAGATGTTTCTCAGAAGGTTTCTGTATAGTTTCTATATGAAGATATTTGCTTTTCCACAATATGCCTCAAATCTCCCCAATTATCCACTTGCAGATTCTAGAAAAAGAGTGTTTCAAAACAGCTCAATCAAAATAAACTTTCAACTCTGTGAGATCAATGCACACATCACAAAGAAGTTTCTCAGAATGCTTCTGTGTAGTTTTTTTTGTGAAGATATTTGATTTTCCACAGCAGGCTTCCAAGCACTCCAAATATCCACTCGCAGATTCTGCAAAAAGAGAGATTCAAATCTGCTGAATCAAAAGATAGGTTTAACTCTGTGACTTCAATGCACACCTCACAAGGGTGTTTCTCAGAAAGCTTCTGTGTAGTTTTTATATGAAGATATCTCCTTCTCCAAAGCAGGTCTCAAAGCCCTCCAAATATTCACTTCAAGATTCTACGGAAAGATTGTCTCAACACTGCTAAATCTAAACAAATGTTCAACTCTGTGTGATGAATGCACTCATCACAGAGAAGTTTCTCTGAATGCCTCTGTGTAGTTTTTATTTGAAGATATTTGCTTTTCCAGTATAGGGCGAAATAGGGCTCCAAATATTCACTTGCAGATTCTACAAAAGGAGAGATTCCAAACTGCTCAATCAAAACATAGGTTCAACACTGTGAGTTGAATGCACACATCACAAAGAAGTTTCACAGAGTGCTTCTGGGTAGTTTTTATTTGAGGATATTTCCCTTTCCACAATAGGCCTCAAAGCTTTCCAAATATCCACTTGCAGATTCTGCAAAAAGAGAGATACAAAACTGCTCTATCAAAAGATAGATTCGACTCTGTGAGTTGAATGCCAACATCGCAAAGAAGTTTCTCAGAATGCTTTCTCTGCAGCTTTTTTGTGAGTATGTTTCGTTTTCCACCATAGGGCGAAATGGGGCTCCAAATATCCACTTGCATTTCCTACAAAAAGAGAGATTCTAAGCTGCTCAATCAAAACATTGTTTCAACACGGTTAGTTGAATGCACACATCCCAAAGATGTTTTTCAGAGTGCTTCTGTGTGGTTTTTATGTGAAGATACTTCCTTTTCCACAATAGGCCTCAAATCTCTGTAAATATCCACTTGCAGACTCTACAAAGAGTGTTTCCAAACTCCTCAATCATAAGATAGGTTCAACTCCGATAGTTGAATGCACACATCACAAAGAAGTTTCTCGGAAAGCTTCTGTGTAGTTTTTGATGAAGATATCTTCTTCTCTAAAACAGAACTCCAAGCCCTCCAAATATTCACTTCAAGATTCTACGGAAAGATTGTCTCAAACTGCTAAATCAAAACAAAGGTTCAACTCTGTGTGATGAATGCATTCATCACAAAGAAGTTTCTCTGAGTGCTTCTGGGCAGTTTTTATTTGAAGATAATTGCTTTTCCAGTATAGGGCGAAATAGGGCTCCAAATATTCACTTGCAGATTCTACAGAAAGAGAGATTCCAAACTGCTCAATCAAAACATAGGTTCAACACTGTGAGTTGAA
This sequence comes from Homo sapiens, assembly GCF_000001405.40. NCBI lineage: Eukaryota > Metazoa > Chordata > Mammalia > Primates > Hominidae > Homo > Homo sapiens. The sequence continues at coordinate 18,266,111 of NC_000015.10, read as the reverse complement.
TGCATACATCGCAAAGAAGTTTCACAGAGTACTTCTGGGTGGTTTTTATTTGAAGATATTTCCCTTTCCACAATAGGCCTCAAAGCTTTCCAAATGTCCACTTGCAGATTCCACCAAAAGAGTGTTTCGAAACTGCTCAATCAAAAGAAAGGTTCTACTCTGTGGGATGAATGCACACATCACAAAGTAGTTTCTCAGAATGCTTCTGTGTAGTTTTTATGTGAAGATATTTGTTTTTCCACAGTAGGCCCCAAGGAGCTCCAAATATTCACTTGCAGATTCTACAAAAAGAGTGTTCCAAAACTGCTCAATCATGAAATAGGATCAACCATGTGAGATGAATGTACGTATGACAGAGAAGTTTCTCAGAATGCTTCTGTGTAGTTTTTATGCGAAGATATTCGATTTTCCACAGTACGCCTCAAAGTTCTCCAATTATCCACTCGTAGATTCTGCAAAAAGAGAGATTCAAAACTGCTCAATCAAAAGATAGTTTCTACTCCATTAGCTGAAAGACCACATCACAAAAAAAGTTTCTCAGGATGCTTCTGTGTAGTTTTTATGTGAACATATTTGGTTTTCCACAGTAGGCCTCAAAGCGCTCCAAATATCCGCTCACAGACTCTGCAAAAAGAGAGATTCAAAACTGCTGAATCAAAAGACAGTTTCAACTCTGTGACTTCAGTGCACACCTCACAAGGATGTTTCTCAGAATGCTTCTGTGTAGTTTTCATATAAAGATATCTCCTTCTCCAAAATGGATCTCAAAGTTCTCCAAATATTCACTTCCAGATTCTATGGAAAGATTGTCTCAAAACTGCTCAATCAAACCAAAGGTTCAACTCTGTGAGATGAATGCCCACATCACAAAGAAGTTTCTCAGAGTACTTCTGTGTAGTTTCTATTTGAGGATAGTTCCTTTTCCACCACAGACCAGAAAGGGCTCCAAATATCCATTGCAGATGGTACAAAAAGTGAGATTCAAAACTGCTGAATCCAAAGGTAGTTTCAACCATGTGATATGAATGCACACAGCACAGAGAATTTTCTCAAAATGCGTCTGTCTAGTTTTTATTTGAAGATATTTCCTTTTCTACCATAGGCCACAAACGTCTCCAAATATCCACATGCAGCTTCTACAAAAAGAGAGATTCAAAACTTCTCAATCAAAAGATAGGTTCAACTCTGTGAGTTGAAAGCACACCTCACAAAGAAGTTTCTCAGAGTGCTTCTGTGTGTTTTTATGTGAAGATATTTCCTTTTCCACAATTGGCCTCAAAGCTCTCCAAATATCTGCGAGCAGAGTCTACAAAATGAGAGATTCAAAACTGCTCAATGAAAAGATAGGTTCAACTCTGTGAGTTGAATGCACACCTCCAAAGAAGTTTCTCAGAATGCTTCCGTGTAGTTTTTATGTGAAGATATTTACTTTTCCACAGTTGTCCCAAAGCTCTAAAATATCCACTTGCAGACCCTCCAAAAGAGTGTTTCAGAATTGCTCAATCAAAGGGAAGGTTCAATTCTGTGTGACCAATGCACTCATCACAAAGAAGTTTGTCTGAATGCTTCTGTGTAGAATTGATTTGAAGATAATTCCTTTTCCACCACAGTCCGCAAAGGGCTAAAAATATCCACTTGCCGATTCCACAAAAAGAGAGATTCAAAACTGCTCAATCACAAGATAGGTTCAACTTGGTAATTGGAAAGCACACATGACAAACAATTTCTGAGAATGTTTCTGTGTAGTTTTTAAGGGAAGATATTTGATTTTCAAATGTAGGCCTCAAATCACTCCAAATATCCACTTGCATATTGTACAGAAAGAGAGATTCAAAACTGGTCACTCAAAAGTTAGGTCCAGCTCTGTGAGCTGAATGCACACATCACAAAGATGTTTCTCAGAAGGTTTCTGTATAGTTTCTATATGAAGATATTTGCTTTTCCACAATATGCCTCAAATCTCCCCAATTATCCACTTGCAGATTCTAGAAAAAGAGTGTTTCAAAACAGCTCAATCCAAATAAACTTTCAACTCTGTGAGATCAATGCACACATCACAAAGAAGTTTCTCAGAATGCTTCTGTGTAGTTTTTTTTGTGAAGATATTTGATTTTCCACAGCAGGCTTCCAAGCACTCCAAATATCCACTCGCAGATTCTGCAAAAAGAGAGATTCAAATCTGCTGAATCAAAAGATAGGTTTAACTCTGTGACTTCAATGCACACCTCACAAGGGTGTTTCTCAGAAAGCTTCTGTGTAGTTTTTATATGAAGATATCTCCTTCTCCAAAGCAGGTCTCAAAGCCCTCCAAATATTCACTTCAAGATTCTACGGAAAGATTGTCTCAACACTGCTAAATCTAAACAAATGTTCAACTCTGTGTGATGAATGCACTCATCACAGAGAAGTTTCTCTGAATGCTTCTGTGTAGTTTTTATTTGAAGATATTTGCTTTTCCAGTATAGGGCGAAATAGGGCTCCAAATATTCACTTGCAGATTCTACAAAAGGAGAGATTCCAAACTGCTCAATCAAAACATAGGTTCAACACTGTGAGTTGAATGCACACATCACAAAGAAGTTTCACAGAGTGCTTCTGGGTAGTTTTTATTTGAGGATATTTCCCTTTCCACAATAGGCCTCAAAGCTTTCCAAATATCCACTTGCAGATTCTGCAAAAAGAGAGATACAAAACTGCTCTATCAAAAGATAGATTCGACTCTGTGAGTTGAATGCCAACATCGCAAAGAAGTTTCTCAGAATGCTTCTCTGCAGCTTTTTTGTGAGTATGTTTCGTTTTCCACCATAGGGCGAAATGGGGCTCCAAATATCCACTTGCATTTCCTACAAAAAGAGAGATTCTAAGCTGCTCAATCAAAACATTGTTTCAACACGGTTAGTTGAATGCACACATCCCAAAGACGTTTTTCAGAGTGCTTCTGTGTGGTTTTTATGTGAAGATACTTCCTTTTCCACAATAGGCCTCAAATCTCTGTAAATATCCACTTGCAGACTCTACAAAGAGTGTTTCCAAACTGCTCAATCATAAGATAGGTTCAACTCCGATAGTTGAATGCACACATCACAAAGAAGTTTCTCAGAAAGCTTCTGTGTAGTTTTTGATGAAGATATCTCCTTCTCTAAAACAGAACTCCAAGCCCTCCAAATATTCACTTCAAGATTCTACGGAAAGATTGTCTCAAAACTCCTAAATCAAAACAAAGTTTCAACTCTGTGTCATGAATGCATTCATCTCAAAGAAGTTTCTCTGAATGCTTCTGTGCAGTTTTTATTTGAAGATAATTGCTTTTCCAGTATAGGGCGAAATAGGGCTCCAAATATTCACTTGCAGATTCTACAGAAAGAGAGATTCCAAACTGCTCAATCAAAACATAGGTTCAACACTGTGAGTTGAATGCATACATCGCAAAGAAGTTTCACAGAGTACTTCTGGGTGGTTTCTATTTGAAGATATTTCCCTTTCCACAATAGGCCTCAAAGCTTTCCAAATGTCCACTTGCAGATTCCACCAAAAGAGTGTTTCGAAACTGCTCAATCAAAAGAAAGGTTCTACTCTGTGGGATGAATGCACACATCACAAAGTAGTTTCTCAGAATGCTTCTGTGTAGTTTTTATGTGAAGATATTTGTTTTTCCACAGTAGGCCCCAAAGAGCTCCAAATATTCACTTGCAGATTCTACAAAAAGAGTGTTCCAAAACTGCTCAATCATGAAATAGGATCAACCCTGTGAGATGAATGTACGTATGACAGAGAAGTTTCTCAGAATGCTTCTGTGTAGTTTTTATGCGAAGATATTCGATTTTCCACAGTACGCCTCAAAGTTCTCCAATTATCCACTCGTAGATCCTGCAAAAAGAGAGACTCAAAACTGCTCAATCAAAAGATAGTTTCTACTCCATTAGCTGAAAGACCACATCACAAAAAAAGTTTCTCAGGATGCTTCTGTGTAGTTTTTATGTGAAGATATTTGGTTTTCCACAGTAGGCCTCAAAGCGCTCCAAATATCCACTCACAGATTCTGCAAAAAGAGAGATTCAAAACTGCTGAATCAAAAGACAGTTTCAACACTGTGACTTCAGTGCACACCTCACAAGGATGTTTCTCAGAATGCTTCTGTGTAGTTTTCATATAAAGATATCTCCTTCTCCAAAATGGATCTCAAAGTTCTCCAAATATTCACTTCCAGATTCTATGGAAAGATTGTCTCAAAACTGCTCAATCAAACCAAAGGTTCAACTCTGTGAGATGAATGCCCACATCACAAAGAAGTTTCTCAGAGTACTTCTGTGTAGTTTCTATTTGAGGATAGTTCCTTTTCCACCACAGACCAGAAAGGGCTCCAAATATCCATTGCAGATGGTACAAAAAGTGAGATTCAAAACTGCTCAATCCAAAGGTAGTTTCAACCATGTGATATGAATGCACACAGCACAGAGAATTTTCTCAAAATGCGTCTGTCTAGTTTTTATTTGAAGATATTTCCTTTTCTACCATAGGCTACAAACGTCTCCAAATATCCACATGCAGCTTCTACAAAAAGAGAGATTCAAAACTTCTCAATCAAAAGATAGGTTCAACTCTGTGAGTTGAAAGCACACCTCACAAAGAAGTTTCTCAGAGTGCTTCTGTGTGTTTTTATGTGAAGATATTTCCTTTTCCACAATAGGCCTCAAAGCTCTCCAAATATCTGCGAGCAGAGTCTACAAAATGAGAGATTCAAAACTGCTCAATGAAAAGATAGGTTCAACTCTGTGAGTTGAATGCACACCTCCAAAGAAGTTTCTCAGAATGCTTCCGTGTAGTTTTTATGTGAAGATATTTACTTTTCCACAGTTGTCCCAAAGCTCTAAAATGTCCACTTGCAGACCCTCCAAAAGAGTGTTTCAGAATTGCTCAATCAAAGGGAAGGTTCAATTCTGTGTGACCAATGCACTCATCACAAAGAAGTTTGTCTGAATGCTTCTGTGTAGAATTGATTTGAAGATAATTCCTTTTCCACCACAGTCCGCAAAGGGCTAAAAATATCCACTTGCCGATTCCACAAAAAGAGAGATTCAAAACTGCTCAATCACAAGATAGGTTCAACTTGGTAATTGGAAAGCACACATGACAAACAATTTCTGAGAATGTTTCTGTGTAGTTTTTAAGGGAAGATATTTGATTTTCAAATGTAGGCCTCAAATCGCTCCAAATATCCACTTGCATATTGTACAAAAAGAGAGATTCAAAACTGGTCACTCAAAAGTTAGGTCCAGCTCTGTGAGCTGAATGCACACATCACAAAGATGTTTCTCAGTAGGTTTCTGTATAGTTTCTATATGAAGATATTGGCTTTTCCACAATATGCCTCAAATCTCCCCAATTATCCACTTGCAGATTCTAGAAAAAGAGTGTTTCAAAACAGCTCAATCAAAATAAACTTTCAACTCTGTGAGATCAATGCACACATCACAAAGAAGTTTCTCAGAATGCTTCTGTGTAGTTTTTTTTGTGAAGATATTTGATTTTCCACAGCAGGCTTCCAAGCACTCCAAATATCCACTCGCAGATTCTGCAAAAAGAGAGATTCAAATCTGCTGAATCAAAAGATAGGTTTAACTCTGTGACTTCAATGCACACCTCACAAGGGTGTTCCTCAGAAAGCTTCTGTGTAGTTTTTATATGAAGATATCTCCTTCTCCAAAGCAGGTCTCAAAGCCCTCCAAATATTCACTTCAAGATTCTACGGAAAGATTGTCTCAACACTGCTAAATCTAAACAAATGTTCAACTCTGTGTGATGAATGCACTCATCACAGAGAAGTTTCTCTGAATGCCTCTGTGTAGTTTTTATTTGAAGATATTTGCTTTTCCAGTATAGGGCGAAATAGGGCTCCAAATATTCACTTGCAGATTCTACAAAAGGAGAGATTCCAAACTGCTCAATCAAAACATAGGTTCAACACTGTGAGTTGAATGCACACATCACAAAGGAAGTTTCACAGAGTGCTTCTGGGTAGTTTTTATTTGAGGATATTTCCCTTTCCACAATAGGCCTCAAAGCTTTCCAAATATCCACTTGCAGATTCTGCAAAAAGAGAGATACAAAACTGCTCTATCAAAAGATAGATTCGACTCTGTGAGTTGAATGCCAACATCGCAAAGAAGTTTCTCAGAATGCTTCTCTGCAGCTTTTTTGTGAGTATGTTTCGTTTTCCACCATAGGGCGAAATGGGGCTCCAAATATCCACTTGCATTTCCTACAAAAAGAGAGATTCTCAGCTGCTCAATCAAAACATTGTTTCAACACGGTTAGTTGAATGCACACATCCCAAAGATGTTTTTCAGAGTGCTTCTGTGTGGTTTTTATGTGAAGATACTTCCTTTTCCACAATAGGCCTCAAATCTCTGTAAATATCCACTTGCAGACTCTACAAAGAGTGTTTCCAAACTCCTCAATCATAAGATAGGTTCAACTCCGATAGTTGAATGCACACATCACAAAGAAGTTTCTCAGAAAGCTTCTGTGTAGTTTTTGATGAAGATATCTTCTTCTCTAAAACAGAACTCCAAGCCCTCCAAATATTCACTTCAAGATTCTACGGAAAGATTGTCTCAAAACTCCTAAATCAAAACAAAGTTTCAACTCTGTGTCATGAATGCATTCATCTCAAAGAAGTTTCTCTGAATGCTTCTGTGCAGTTTTTATTTGAAGATAATTGCTTTTCCAGTATAGGGCGAAATAGGGCTCCAAATATTCACTTGCAGATTCTACAGAAAGAGAGATTCCAAACTGCTCAATCAAAACATAGGTTCAACACTGTGAGTTGAATGCATACATCGCAAAGAAGTTTCACAGAGTACTTCTGGGTGGTTTTTATTTGAAGATATTTCCCTTTCCACAATAGGCCTCAAAGCTTTCCAAATGTCCACTTGCAGATTCCACCAAAAGAGTGTTTCGAAACTGCTCAATCAAAAGAAAGGTTCTACTCTGTGGGATGAATGCACACATCACAAAGTAGTTTCTCAGAATGCTTCTGTGTAGTTTTTATGTGAAGATATTTGTTTTTCCACAGTAGGCCCCAAAGAGCTCCAAATATTCACTTGCAGATTCTACAAAAAGAGTGTTCCAAAACTGCTCAATCATGAAATAGGATCAACCCTGTGAGATGAATGTACGTATGACAGAGAAGTTTCTCAGAATGCTTCTGTGTAGTTTTTATGCGAAGATATTCGATTTTCCACAGTACGCCTCAAAGTTCTCCAATTATCCACTCGTAGATTCTGCAAAAAGAGAGATTCAAAACTGCTCAATCAAAAGATAGTTTCTACTCCATTAGCTGAAAGACCACATCACAAAAAAAGTTTCTCAGGATGCTTCTGTGTAGTTTTTATGTGAAGATATTTGGTTTTCCACAGTAGGCCTCAAAGCGCTCCAAATATCCACTCACAGATTCTGCAAAAAGAGAGATTCAAAACTGCTGAATCAAAAGACAGTTTCAACTCTGTGACTTCAGTGCACACCTCACAAGGATGTTTCTCAGAATGCTTCTGTGTAGTTTTCATATAAAGATATCTCCTTCTCCAAAATGGATCTCAAAGTTCTCCAAATATTCACTTCCAGATTCTATGGAAAGATTGTCTCAAAACTGCTCAATCAAACCAAAGGTTCAACTCTGTGAGATGAATGTCCACATCACAAAGAAGTTTCTCAGAGTACTTCTGTGTAGTTTCTATTTGAGGATAGTTCCTTTTCCACCACAGACCAGAAAGGGCTCCAAATATCCATTGCAGATGGTACAAAAAGTGAGATTCAAAACTGCTCAATCCAAAGGTAGTTTCAACCATGTGATATGAATGCACACAGCACAGAGAATTTTCTCAAAATGCGTCTGTCTAGTTTTTATTTGAAGATATTTTCTTTTCTACCATAGGCCACAAACGTCTCCAAATATCCACATGCAGCTTCTACAAAAAGAGAGATTCAAAACTTCTCAATCAAAAGATAGGTTCAACTCTGTGAGTTGAAAGCACACCTCACAAAGAAGTTTCTCAGAGTGCTTCTGTGTGTTTTTATGTGAAGATATTTCCTTTTCCACAATAGGCCTCAAAGCTCTCCAAATATCTGCGAGCAGAGTCTACAAAATGAGAGATTCAAAACTGCTCAATGAAAAGATAGGTTCAACTCTGTGAGTTGAATGCACACCTCCAAAGAAGTTTCTCAGAATGCTTCCGTGAATTTTTTATGTGAAGATATTTACTTTTCCACAGTTGTCCCAAAGCTCTAAAATGTCCACTTGCAGACCCTCCAAAAGAGTGTTTCAGAATTGCTCAATCAAAGGGAAGGTTCAATTCTGTGTGACCAATGCACTCATCACAAAGAAGTTTGTCTGAATGCTTCTGTGTAGAATTGATTTGAAGATAATTCCTTTTCCACCACAGTCCGCAAAGGGCTAAAAATATCCACTTGCCGATTCCACAAAAAGAGAGATTCAAAACTGCTCAATCACAAGATAGGTTCAACTTGGTAATTGGAAAGCACACATGACAAACAATTTCTGAGAATGTTTCTGTGTAGTTTTTAAGGGAAGATATTTGATTTTCAAATGTAGGCCTCAAATCGCTCCAAATATCCACTTGCATATTGTACAAAAAGAGAGATTCAAAACTGGTCACTCAAAAGTTAGGTCCAGCTCTGTGAGCTGAATGCACACATCACAAAGATGTTTCTCAGAAGGTTTCTGTATAGTTTTTATATGAAGATATTTGCTTTTCCACAATATGCCTCAAATCTCCCCAATTATCCACTTGCAGATTCTAGAAAAAGAGTGTTTCAAAACAGCTCAATCAAAATAAACTTTCAACTCTGTGAGATCAATGCACACATCACAAAGAAGTTTCTCAGAATGCTTCTGTGTAGTTTTTTTTGTGAAGATATTTGATTTTCCACAGCAGGCTTCCAAGCACTCCAAATATCCACTCGCAGATTCTGCAAAAAGAGAGATTCAAATCTGCTGAATCAAAAGATAGGTTTAACTCTGTGACTTCGATGCACACCTCACAAGGGTGTTTCTCAGAAAGCTTCTGTGTAGTTTTTATATGAAGATATCTCCTTCTCCAAAGCAGGTCTCAAAGCCCTCCAAATATTCACTTCAAGATTCTACGGAAAGATTGTCTCAACACTGCTAAATCTAAACAAATGTTCAACTCTGTGTGGTGAATGCACTCATCACAGAGAAGTTTCTCTGAATGCCTCTGTGTAGTTTTTATTTGAAGATATTTGCTTTTCCAGTATAGGGCGAAATAGGGCTCCAAATATTCACTTGCAGATTCTACAAAAGGAGAGATTCCAAACTGCTCAATCAAAACATAGGTTCAACACTGTGAGTTGAATGCACACATCACAAAGAAGTTTCACAGAGTGCTTCTGGGTAGTTTTTATTTGAGGATATTTCCCTTTCCACAATAGGCCTCAAAGCTTTCCAAATATCCACTTGCAGATTCTGCAAAAAGAGAGATACAAAACTGCTCTATCAAAAGATAGATTCGACTCTGTGAGTTGAATGCCAACATCGCAAAGAAGTTTCTCAGAATGCTTCTCTGCAGCTTTCTTGTGAGTATGTTTCGTTTTCCACCATAGGGCGAAATGGGGCTCCAAATATCCACTTGCATTTCCTACAAAAAGAGAGATTCTAAGCTGCTCAATCAAAACATTGTTTCAACACGGTTAGTTGAATGCACACATCCCAAAGATGTTTTTCAGAGTGCTTCTGTGTGGTTTTTATGTGAAGATACTTCCTTTTCCACAATAGGCCTCAAATCTCTGTAAATATCCACTTGCAGACTCTACAAAGAGTGTTTCCAAACTCCTCAATCATAAGATAGGTTCAACTCCGATAGTTGAATGCACACATCACAAAGAAGTTTCTCGGAAAGCTTCTGTGTAGTTTTTGATGAAGATATCTTCTTCTCTAAAACAGAACTCCAAGCCCTCCAAATATTCACTTCAAGATTCTACGGAAAGATTGTCTCAAACTGCTAAATCAAAACAAAGGTTCAACTCTGTGTGATGAATGCATTCATCACAAAGAAGTTTCTCTGAGTGCTTCTGTGCAGTTTTTATTTGAAGATAATTGCTTTTCCAGTATAGGGCGAAATAGGGCTCCAAATATTCACTTGCAGATTCTACAGAAAGAGAGATTCCAAACTGCTCAATCAAAACATAGGTTCAACACTGTGAGTTGAATGCATACATCACAAAGAAGTTTCACAGAGTACTTCTGGGTGGTTTTTATTTGAAGATATTTCCCTTTCCACAATAGGCCTCAAAGCTTTCCAAATGTCCACTTGCAGATTCCACCAAAAGAGTGTTTCGAAACTGCTCAATCAAAAGAAAGGTTCTACTCTGTGGGATGAATGCACACATCACAAAGTAGTTTCTCAGAATGCTTCTGTGTAGTTTTTATGTGAAGATATTTGTTTTTCCACAGTAGGCCCCAAGGAGCTCCAAATATTCACTTGCAGATTCTACAAAAAGAGTGTTCCAAAACTGCTCAATCATGAAATAGGATCAACCCTGTGAGATGAATGTACGTATGACAGAGAAGTTTCTCAGAATGCTTCTGTGTAGTTTTTATGCGAAGATATTCGATTTTCCACAGTACGCCTCAAAGTTCTCCAAATATCCACTCGTAGATTCTGCAAAAAGAGAGATTCAAAACTGCTCAATCAAAAGATAGTTTCTACTCCATTAGCTGAAAGACCACATCACAAAAAAAGTTTCTCAGGATGCTTTCTGTGTAGTTTTTATAGTGAAGATATTTGGTTTTCCACAGTAGGCCTCAAAGCGCTCCAAATATCCACTCACAGGTTCTGCAAAAAGAGAGATTCAAAACTGCTGAATCAAAAGACAGTTTCAACTCTGTGACTTCAGTGCACACCTCACAAGGATGTTTCTCAGAATGCTTCTGTGTAGTTTTTATTTAAAGATATCTCCTTCTCCAAAATGGATCTCAAAGTTCTCCAAATATTCACTTCCAGATTCTATGGAAAGATTGTCTCAAAACTGCTCAATCAAACCAAAGGTTCAACTCTGTGAGATGAATGCCCACATCACAAAGAAGTTTCTCAGAGTACTTCTGTGTAGTTTCTATTTGAGGATAGTTCCTTTTCCACCACAGACCAGAAAGGGCTCCAAATATCCATTGCAGATGGTACAAAAAGTGAGATTCAAAACTGCTCAATCCAAAGGTAGTTTCAACCATGTGATATGAATGCACACAGCACAGAGAATTTTCTCAAAATGCGTCTGTCTAGTTTTTATTTGAAGATATTTCCTTTTCTACCATAGGCCACAAACGTCTCCAAATATCCACATGCAGCTTCTACAAAAAGAGAGATTCAAAACTTCTCAATCAAAAGATAGGTTCAACTCTGTGAGTTGTAAGCACACCTCACAAAGAAGTTTCTCAGAGTGCTTCTGTGTGTTTTTATGTGAAGATATTTCCTTTTCCACAATAGGCCTCAAAGCTCTCCAAATATCTGCGAGCAGAGTCTACAAAATGAGAGATTCAAAACTGCTCAATGAAAAGATAGGTTCAACTCTGTGAGTTGAATGCACACCTCCAAAGAAGTTTCTCAGAATGCTTCCGTGTAGTTTTTATGTGAAGATATTTACTTTTCCACAGTTGTCCCAAAGCTCTAAAATATCCACTTGCAGACCCTCCAAAAGAGTGTTTCAGAATTGCTCAATCAAAGGGAAGTTTCAATTCTGTGTGACCAATGCACTCATCACAAAGAAGTTTGTCTGAATGCTTCTGTGTAGAATTGATTTGAAGATAATTCCTTTTCCACCACAGTCCGCAAAGGGCTAAAAATATCCACTTGCCGATTCCACAAAAAGAGAGATTCAAAACTGCTCAATCACAAGATAGGTTCAACTTGGTAATTGGAAAGCACACATGACAAACAATTTCTGAGAATGTTTCTGTGTAGTTTTTAAGGGAAGATATTTGATTTTCAAATGTAGGCCTCAAATCGCTCCAAATATCCACTTGCATATTGTACAAAAAGAGAGATTCAAAACTGGTCACTCAAAAGTTAGGTCCAGCTCTGTGAGCTGAATGCACACATCACAAAGATGTTTCTCAGAAGGTTTCTGTATAGTTTCTATATGAAGATATTTGCTTTTCCACAATATGCCTCAAATCTCCCCAATTATCCACTTGCAGATTCTAGAAAAAGTGTGTTTCAAAACAGCTCAATCAAAATAAACTTTCAACTCTGTGAGATCAATGCACACATCACAAAGAAGTTTCTCAGAATGCTTCTGTGTAGTTTTTTTTGTGAAGATATTTGATTTTCCACAGCAGGCTTCCAAGCACTCCAAATATCCACTCGCAGATTCTGCAAAAAGAGAGATTCAAATCTGCTGAATCAAAAGATAGGTTTAACTCTGTGACTTCAATGCACACCTCACAAGGGTGTTTCTCAGAAAGCTTCTGTGTAGTTTTTATATGAAGATATCTCCTTCTCCAAAGCAGGTCTCAAAGCCCTCCAAATATTCACTTCAAGATTCTACGGAAAGATTGTCTCAACACTGCTAAATCTAAACAAATGTTCAACTCTGTGTGATGAATGCACTCATCACAGAGAAGTTTCTCTGAAGGCCTCTGTGTAGTTTTTATTTGAAGATATTTGCTTTTCCAGTATAGGGCGAAATAGGGCTCCAAATATTCACTTGCAGATTCTACAAAAGGAGAGATTCCAAACTGCTCAATCAAAACATAGGTTCAACACTGTGAGTTGAATGCACACATCACAAAGAAGTTTCACAGAGTGCTTCTGGGTAGTTTTTATTTGAGGATATTTCCCTTTCCACAATAGGCCTCAAAGCATTCCAAATATCCACTTGCAGATTCTGCAAAAAGAGAGATACAAAACTGCTCTATCAAAAGATAGATTCGACTCTGTGAGTTGAATGCCAACATCGCAAAGAAGTTTCTCAGAATGCTTCTCTGCAGCTTTTTTGTGAGTATGTTTCGTTTTCCACCATAGGGCGAAATGGGGCTCCAAATATCCACTTGCATTTCCTACAAAAAGAGAGATTCTAAGCTGCTCAATCAAAACATTGTTTCAACACGGTTAGTTGAATGCACACATCCCAAAGATGTTTTTCAGAGTGCTTCTGTGTGGTTTTTATGTGAAGATACTTCCTTTTCCACAATAGGCCTCAAATCTCTGTAAATATCCACTTGCAGACTCTACAAAGAGTGTTTCCAAACTCCTCAATCATAAGATAGGTTCAACTCCGATAGTTGAATGCACACATCACAAAGAAGTTTCTCAGAAAGCTTCTGTGTAGTTTTTGATGAAGATATCTCCTTCTCTAAAACAGAACTCCAAGCCCTCCAAATATTCACTTCAAGATTCTACAGAAAGATTGTCTCAAAACTCCTAAATCAAAACAAAGTTTCAACTCTGTGTCATGAATGCATTCATCTCAAAGAACTTTCTCTGAATGCTTCTGTGCAGTTTTTATTTGAAGATAATTGCTTTTCCAGTATAGGGCGAAATAGGGCTCCAAATATTCACTTGCAGATTCTACAGAAAGAGAGATTCCAAACTGCTCAATCAAAACATAGGTTCAACACTGTGAGTTGAATGCATACATCGCAAAGAAGTTTCACAGAGTACTTCTGGGTGGTTTTTATTTGAAGATATTTCCCTTTCCACAATAGGCCTCAAAGCTTTCCAAATGTCCACTTGCAGATTCCACCAAAAGAGTGTTTCAAAACTGCTCAATCAAAAGAAAGGTTCTACTCTGTGGGGTGAATGCACACATCACAAAGTAGTTTCTCAGAATGCTTCTGTGTAGTTTTTATGTGAAGATATTTGTTTTTCCACAGTAGGCCCCAAAGAGCTCCAAATATTCACTTGCAGATTCTACAAAAAGAGTGTTCCAAAACTGCTCAATCATGAAATAGGATCAACCCTGTGAGATGAATGTACGTATGACAGAGAAGTTTCTCAGAATGCTTCTGTGTAGTTTTTATGCGAAGATATTCGATTTTCCACAGTACGCCTCAAAGTTCTCCAATTATCCACTCGTAGATTCTGCAAAAAGAGAGATTCAAAACTGCTCAATCAAAAGATAGTTTCTACTCCATTTAGCTGAAAGACCACATCACAAAAAAAGTTTCTCAGGATGCTTCTGTGTAGTTTTTATGTGAAGATATTTGGTTTTCCACAGTAGGCCTCAAAGCGCTCCAAATATCCACTCACAGATTCTGCAAAAAGAGAGATTCAAAACTGCTGAATCAAAAGACAGTTTCAACTCTGTGACTTCAGTGCACACCTCACAAGGATGTTTCTCAGAATGCTTCTGTGTAGTTTTTATATAAAGATATCTCCTTCTCCAAAATGGATCTCAAAGTTCTCCAAATATTCACTTCCAGATTCTATGGAAAGATTGTCTCAAAACTGCTCAATCAAACCAAAGGTTCAACTCTGTGAGATGAATGCACACATCACAAAGAAGTTTCTCAGAGTACTTCTGTGTAGTTTCTATTTGAGGATAGTTCCTTTTCCACCACAGACCAGAAAGGGCTCCAAATATCCATTGCAGATGGTACAAAAAGTGAGATTCAAAACTGCTCAATCCAAAGGTAGTTTCAACCATGTGATATGAATGCACACAGCACAGAGAATTTTCTCAAAATGCGTCTGTCTAGTTTTTATTTGAAGATATTTCCTTTTCTACCATAGGCCACAAACGTCTCCAAATATCCACATGCAGCTTCTACAAAAAGAGAGATTCAAAACTTCTCAATCAAAAGATAGGTTCAACTCTGTGAGTTGAAAGCACACCTCACAAAGAAGTTTCTCAGAGTGCTTCTGTGTGTTTTTATGTGAAGATATTTCCTTTTCCACAATAGGCCTCAAAGCTCTCCAAATATCTGCGAGCAGAGTCTACAAAATGAGAGATTCAAAACTGCTCAATGAAAAGATAGGTTCAACTCTGTGAGTTGAATGCACACCTCCAAAGAAGTTTCTCAGAATGCTTCCGTGTAGTTTTTATGTGAAGATATTTACTTTTCCACAGTTGTCCCAAAGCTCTAAAATATCCACTTGCAGACCCTCCAAAAGAGTGTTTCAGAATTGCTCAATCAAAGGGAAGGTTCAATTCTGTGTGACCAATGCACTCATCACAAAGAAGTTTGTCTGAATGCTTCTGTGTAGAATTGATTTGAAGATAATTCCTTTTCCACCACAGTCCGCAAAGGGCTAAAAATATCCACTTGCCGATTCCACAAAAAGAGAGATTCAAAACTGCTCAATCACAAGATAGGTTCAACTTGGTAATTGGAAAGCACACATGACAAACAATTTCTGAGAATGTTTCTGTGTAGTTTTTAAGGGAAGATATTTGATTTTCAAATGTAGGCCTCAAATCGCTCCAAATATCCACTTGCATATTGTACAAAAAGAGAGATTCAAAACTGGTCACTCAAAAGTTAGGTCCAGCTCTGTGAGCTGAATGCACACATCACAAAGATGTTTCTCAGAAGGTTTCTGTATAGTTTCTATATGAAGATATTTGCTTTTCCACAATATGCCTCAAATCTCCCCAATTATCCACTTGCAGATTCTAGAAAAAGAGTGTTTCAAAACAGCTCAATCAAAATAAACTTTCAACTCTGTGAGATCAATGCACACATCCCAAAGAAGTTTCTCAGAATGCTTCTGTGTAGTTTTTTTTGTGAAGATATTTGATTTTCCACAGCAGGCTTCCAAGCACTCCAAATATCCACTCGCAGATTCTGCAAAAAGAGAGATTCAAATCTGCTGAATCAAAAGATAGGTTTAACTCTGTGACTTCAATGCACACCTCACAAGGGTGTTTCTCAGAAAGCTTCTGTGTAGTTTTTATATGAAGATATCTCCTTCTCCAAAGCAGGTCTCAAAGCCCTCCAAATATTCACTTCAAGATTCTACGGAAAGATTGTCTCAACACTGCTAAATCTAAACAAATGTTCAACTCTGTGTGATGAATGCACTCATCACAGAGAAGTTTCTCTGAATGCCTCTGTGTAGTTTTTATTTGAAGATATTTGCTTTTCCAGTATAGGGCGAAATAGGGCTCCAAATATTCACTTGCAGATTCTACAAAAGGAGAGATTCCAAACTGCTCAATCAAAACATAGGTTCAACACTGTGAGTTGAATGCACACATCACAAAGAAGTTTCACAGAGTGCTTCTGGGTAGTTTTTATTTGAGGATATTTCCCTTTCCACAATAGGCCTCAAAGCTTTCCAAATATCCACTTGCAGATTCTGCAAAAAGAGAGATACAAAACTGCTCTATCAAAAGATAGATTCGACTCGGTGAGTTGAATGCCAACATCGCAAAGAAGTTTCTCAAAATGCTTCTCTGCAGCTTTTTTGTGAGTATGTTTCGTTTTCCACCATAGGGCGAAATGGGGCTCCAAATATCCACTTGCATTTCCTACAAAAAGAGAGATTCTAAGCTGCTCAATCAAAACATTGTTTCAACACGGTTAGTTGAATGCACACATCCCAAAGATGTTTTTCAGAGTGCTTCTGTGTGGTTTTTATGTGAAGATACTTCCTTTTCCACAATAGGCCTCAAATCTCTGTAAATATCCACTTGCAGACTCTACAAAGAGTGTTTATAAACTGCTCAATCATAAGATAGGTTCAACTCCGATAGTTGAATGCACACATCACAAAGAAGTTTCTCAGAAAGCTTCTGTGTAGTTTTTGATGAAGATATCTTCTTCTCTAAAACAGAACTCCAAGCCCTCCAAATATTCACTTCAAGATTCTACGGAAAGATTGTCTCAAAACTCTTAAATCAAAACAAAGTTTCAACTCTCTGTCATGAATGCATTCATCTCAAAGAAGTTTCTCTGAATGCTTCTGTGCAGTTTTTATTTGAAGATAATTGCTTTTCCAGTATAGGGCGAAATAGGGCTCCAAATATTCACTTGCAGATTCTACAGAAAGAGAGATTCCAAACTGCTCAATCAAAACATAGGTTCAACACTGTGAGTTGAATGCATACATCGCAAAGAAGTTTCACAGAGTACTTCTGGGTGGTTTTTATTTGAAGATATTTCCCTTTCCACAATAGGCTTCAAAGCTTTCCAAATGTCCACTTGCAGATTCCACCAAAAGAGTGTTTCGAAACTGCTCAATCAAAAGAAAGGTTCTACTCTGTGGGATGAATGCACACATCACAAAGTAGTTTCTCAGAATGCTTCTGTGTAGTTTTTATGTGAAGATATTTGTTTTTCCACAGTAGGCCCCAAAGAGCTCCAAATATTCACTTGCAGATTCTACAAAAAGAGTGTTCCAAAACTGCTCAATCATGAAATAGGATCAACCCTGTGAGATGAATGTACGTATGACAGAGAAGTTTCTCAGAATGCTTCTGTGTAGTTTTTATGCGAAGATATTCGATTTTCCACAGTACGCCTCAAAGTTCTCCAATTATCCACTCGTAGATCCTGCAAAAAGAGAGACTCAAAACTGCTCAATCAAAAGATACTTTCTACTCCATTAGCTGAAAGACCACATCACAAAAAAAGTTTCTCAGGATGCTTCTGTGTAGTTTTTATGTGAAGATATTTGGTTTTCCACAGTAGGCCTCAAAGCGCTCCAAATATCCACTCACAGATTCTGCAAAAAGAGAGATTCAAAACTGCTGAATCAAAAGACAGTTTCAACTCTGTGACTTCAGTGCACACCTCACAAGGATGTTTCTCAGAATGCTTCTGTGTAGTTTTCATATAAAGGTATCTCCTTCTCCAAAATGGATCTCAAAGTTCTCCAAATATTCACTTCCAGATTCTATGGAAAGATTGTCTCAAAACTGCTCAATCAAACCAAAGGTTCAACTCTGTGAGATGAATGCCCACATCACAAAGAAGTTTCTCAGAGTACTTCTGTGTAGTTTCTATTTGAGGATAGTTCCTTTTCCACCACAGACCAGAAAGAGCTCCAAATATCCATTGCAGATGGTACAAAAAGTGAGATTCAAAACTGCTCAATCCAAAGGTAGTTTCAACCATGTGATATGAATGCACACAGCACAGAGAATTTTCTCAAAATGCGTCTGTCTAGTTTTTATTTGAAGATATTTCCTTTTCTACCATAGGCCACAAACGTCTCCAAATATCCACATGCAGCTTCTACAAAAAGAGAGATTCAAAACTTCTCAATCAAAAGATAGGTTCAACTCTGTGAGTTGAAAGCACACCTCACAGAGAAGTTTCTCAGAGTGCTTCTGTGTGTTTTTATGTGAAGATATTTCCTTTTCCACAACAGGCCTCAAAGCTCTCCAAATATCTGCGAGCAGAGTCTACAAAATGAGAGATTCAAAACTGCTCAATGAAAAGATAGGTTCAACTCTGTGAGTTGAATGCACACCTCCAAAGAAGTTTCTCAGAATGCTTCCGTGTAGTTTTTATGTGAAGATATTTACTTTTCCACAGTTGTCCCAAAGCTCTAAAATGTCCACTTGCAGACCCTCCAAAAGAGTGTTTCAGAATTGCTCAATCAAAGGGAAGGTTCAATTCTGTGTGACCAATGCACTCATCACAAAGAAGTTTGTCTGAATGCTTCTGTGTAGAATTGATTTGAAGATAATTCCTTTTCCACCACAGTCCGCAAAGGGCTAAAAATATCCACTTGCCGATTCCACAAAAAGAGAGATTCAAAACTGCTCAATCACAAGATACGTTCAACTTGGTAATTGGAAAGCACACATGACAAACAATTTCTGAGAATGTTTCTGTGTAGTTTTTAAGGGAAGATATTTGATTTTCAAATGTAGGCCTCAAATCGCTCCAAATATCCACTTGCATATTGTACAGAAAGAGAGATTCAAAACTGGTCACTCAAAAGTTAGGTCCAGCTCTGTGAGCTGAATGCACACATCACAAAGATGTTTCTCAGAAGGTTTCTGTATAGTTTCTATATGAAGATATTTGCTTTTCCACAATATGCCTCAAATCTCCCCAATTATCCACTTGCAGATTCTAGAAAAAGAGTGTTTCAAAACAGCTCAATCCAAATAAACTTTCAACTCTGTGAGATCAATGCACACATCACAAAGAAGTTTCTCAGAATGCTTCTGTGTAGTTTTTTTTGTGAAGATATTTGATTTTCCACAGCAGGCTTCCAAGCACTCCAAATATCCACTCGCAGATTCTGCAAAAAGAGAGATTCAAATCTGCTGAATCAAAAGATAGGTTTAACTCTGTGACTTCAATGCACACCTCACAAGGGTGTTTCTCAGAAAGCTTCTGTGTAGTTTTTATATGAAGATATCTCCTTCTCCAAAGCAGGTCTCAAAGCCCTCCAAATATTCACTTCAAGATTCTACGGAAAGATTGTCTCAACACTGCTAAATCTAAACAAATGTTCAACTCTGTGTGATGAATGCACTCATCACAGAGAAGTTTCTCTGAATGCCTCTGTGTAGTTTTTATTTGAAGATATTTGCTTTTCCAGTATAGGGCGAAATAGGGCTCCAAATATTCACTTGCAGATTCTACAAAAGGAGAGATTCCAAACTGCTCAATCAAAACATAGGTTCAACACTGTGAGTTGAATGCACACATCACAAAGAAGTTTCACAGAGTGCTTCTGGGTAGTTTTTATTTGAGGATATTTCCCTTTCCACAATAGGCCTCAAAGCTTTCCAAATATCCACTTGCAGATTCTGCAAAAAGAGAGATACAAAACTGCTCTATCAAAAGATAGATTCGACTCTGTGAGTTGAATGCCAACATCGCAAAGAAGTTTCTCAGAATGCTTCTCTGCAGCTTTTTTGTGAGTATGTTTCGTTTTCCACCATAGGGCGAAATGGGGCTCCAAATATCCACTTGCATTTCCTACAAAAAGAGAGATTCTAAGCTGCTCAATCAAAACATTGTTTCAACACGGTTAGTTGAATGCACACATCCCAAAGATGTTTTTCAGAGTGCTTCTGTGTGGTTTTTATGTGAAGATACTTCCTTTTCCACAATAGGCCTCAAATCTCTGTAAATATCCACTTGCAGACTCTACAAAGAGTGTTTCCAAACTGCTCAATCATAAGATAGGTTCAACTCCGATAGTTGAATGCACACATCACAAAGAAGTTTCTCAGAAAGCTTCTGTGTAGTTTTTGATGAAGATATCTCCTTCTCTAAAACAGAACTCCAAGCCCTCCAAATATTCACTTCAAGATTCTACGGAAAGATTGTCTCAAAACTCCTAAATCAAAACAAAGTTTCAACTCTGTGTCATGAATGCATTCATCTCAAAGAAGTTTCTCTGAATGCTTCTGGGCAGTTTTTATTTGAAGATAATTGCTTTTCCAGTATAGGGCGAAATAGGGCTCCAAATATTCACTTGCAGATTCTACAGAAAGAGAGATTCCAAACTGCTCAATCAAAACATAGGTTCAACACTGTGAGTTGAATGCATACATCGCAAAGAAGTTTCACAGAGTACTTCTGGGTGGTTTTTATTTGAAGATATTTCCCTTTCCACAATAGGCCTCAAAGCTTTCCAAATGTCCACTTGCAGATTCCACCAAAAGAGTGTTTCGAAACTGCTCAATCAAAAGAAAGGTTCTACTCTGTGGGATGAATGCACACATCACAAAGTAGTTTCTCAGAATGCTTCTGTGTAGTTTTTATGTGAAGATATTTGTTTTTCCACAGTAGGCCCCAAGGAGCTCCAAATATTCACTTGCAGATTCTACAAAAAGAGTGTTCCAAAACTGCTCAATCATGAAATAGGATCAACCCTGTGAGATGAATGTACGTATGACAGAGAAGTTTCTCAGAATGCTTCTGTGTAGTTTTTATGCGAAGATATTCGATTTTCCACAGTACGCCTCAAAGTTCTCCAATTATCCACTCGTAGATTATGCAAAAAGAGAGATTCAAAACTGCTCAATCAAAAGATAGTTTCTACTCCATTAGCTGAAAGACCACATCACAAAAAAAGTTTCTCAGGATGCTTCTGTGTAGTTTTTATGTGAAGATATTTGGTTTTCCACAGTAGGCCTCAAAGCGCTCCAAATATCCACTCACAGATTCTGCAAAAAGAGAGATTCAAAACTGCTGAATCAAAAGACAGTTTCAACTCTGTGACTTCAGTGCACACCTCACAAGGATGTTTCTCAGAATGCTTCTGTGTAGTTTTCATATAAAGATATCTCCTTCTCCAAAATGGATCTCAAAGTTCTCCAAATATTCACTTCCAGATTCTATGGAAAGATTGTCTCAAAACTGCTCAATCAAACCAAAGGTTCAACTCTGTGAGATGAATGCCCACATCACAAAGAAGTTTCTCAGAGTACTTCTGTGTAGTTTCTATTTGAGGATAGTTCCTTTTCCACCACAGACCAGAAAGGGCTCCAAATATCCATTGCAGATGGTACAAAAAGTGAGATTCAAAACTGCTCAATCCAAAGGTAGTTTCAACCATGTGATATGAATGCACACAGCACAGAGAATTTTCTCAAAATGCGTCTGTCTAGTTTTTATTTGAAGATATTTCCTTTTCTACCATAGGCCACAAACGTCTCCAAATATCCACATGCAGCTTCTACAAAAAGAGAGATTCAAAACTTCTCAATCAAAAGATAGGTTCAACTCTGTGAGTTGAAAGCACACCTCACAAAGAAGTTTCTCAGAGTGCTTCTGTGTGTTTTTATGTGAAGATATTTCCTTTTCCACAATAGGCCTCAAAGCTCTCCAAATATCTGCGAGCAGAGTCTACAAAATGAGAGATTCAAAACTGCTCAATGAAAAGATAGGTTCAACTCTGTGTGTTGAATGCACACCTCCAAAGAAGTTTCTCAGAATGCTTCCGTGTAGTTTTTATGTGAAGATATTTACTTTTCCACAGTTGTCCCAAAGCTCTAAAATGTCCACTTGCAGACCCTCCAAAAGAGTGTTTCAGAATTGCTCAATCAAAGGGCAGGTTCAATTCTGTGTGACCAATGCACTCATCACAAAGAAGTTTGTCTGAATGCTTCTGTGTAGAATTGATTTGAAGATAATTCCTTTTCCACCACAGTCCGCAAAGGGCTAAAAATATCCACTTGCCGATTCCACAAAAAGAGAGATTCAAAACTGCTCAATCACAAGATAGGTTCAACTTGGTAATTGGAAAGCACACATGACAAACAATTTCTGAGAATGTTTCTGTGTAGTTTTTAAGGGGAAGATATTTGATTTTCAAATGTAGGCCTCAAATCGCTCCAAATATCCACTTGCATATTGTACAAAAAGAGAGATTCAAAACTGGTCACTCAAAAGTTAGGTCCAGCTCTGTGAGCTGAATGCACACATCACAAAGATGTTTCTCAGAAGGTTTCTGTATAGTTTCTATATGAAGATATTGGCTTTTCCACAATATGCCTCAAATCTCCCCAATTATCCACTTGCAGATTCTAGAAAAAGAGTGTTTCAAAACAGCTCAATCAAAATAAACTTTCAACTCTGTGAGATCAATGCACACATCACAAAGAAGTTTCTCAGAATGCTTCTGTGTAGTTTTTTTTGTGAAGATATTTGATTTTCCACAGCAGGCTTCCAAGCACTCCAAATATCCACTCGCAGATTCTGCAAAAAGAGAGATTCAAATCTGCTGAATCAAAAGATAGGTTTAACTCTGTGACTTCAATGCACACCTCACAAGGGTGTTTCTCAGAAAGCTTCTGTGTAGTTTTTATATGAAGATATCTCCTTCTCCAAAGCAGGTCTCAAAGCCCTCCAAATATTCACTTCAAGATTCTACGGAAAGATTGTCTCAACACTGCTAAATCTAAACAAATGTTCAACTCTGTGTGATGAATGCACTCATCACAGAGAAGTTTCTCTGAATGCCTCTGTGTAGTTTTTATTTGAAGATATTTGCTTTTCCAGTATAGGGCGAAATAGGGCTCCAAATATTCACTTGCAGATTCTACAAAAGGAGAGATTCCAAACTGCTCAATCAAAACATAGGTTCAACACTGTGAGTTGAATGCACACATCACAAAGAAGTTTCACAGAGTGCTTCTGGGTAGTTTTTATTTGAGGATATTTCCCTTTCCACAATAGGCCTCAAAGCTTTCCAAATATCCACTTGCAGATTCTGCAAAAAGAGAGATACAAAACTGCTCTATCAAAAGATAGATTCGACTCTGTGAGTTGAATGCCAACATCGCAAAGAAGTTTCTCAGAATGCTTCTCTGCAGCTTTTTTGTGAGTATGTTTCGTTTTCCACCATAGGGCGAAATGGGGCTCCAAATATCCACTTGCATTTCCTACAAAAAGAGAGATTCTAAGCTGCTCAATCAAAACATTGTTTCAACACGGTTAGTTGAATGCACACATCCCAAAGATGTTTTTCAGAGTGCTTCTGTGTGGTTTTTATGTGAAGATACTTCCTTTTCCACAATAGGCCTCAAATCTCTGTAAATATCCACTTGCAGACTCTACAAAGAGTGTTTCCAAACTGCTCAATCATAAGATAGGTTCAACTCCGATAGTTGAATGCACACATCACAAAGAAGTTTCTCAGAAAGCTTCTGTGTAGTTTTTGATGAAGATATCTCCTTCTCTAAAACAGAACTCCAAGCCCTCCAAATATTCACTTCAAGATTCTACGGAAAGATTGTCTCAAAACTCCTAAATCAAAACAAAGTTTCAACTCTGTGTCATGAACGCATTCATCTCAAAGAAGTTTCTCTGAGTGCTTCTGTGCAGTTTTTATTTGAAGATAATTGCTTTTCCAGTATAGGGCGAAATAGGGCTCCAAATATTCACTTGCAGATTCTACAGAAAGAGAGATTCCAAACTGCTCAATCAAAACATAGGTTCAACACTGTGAGTTGAATGCATACATCGCAAAGAAGTTTCACAGAGTACTTCTGGGTGGTTTTTATTTGAAGATATTTCCCTTTCCACAATAGGCCTCAAAGCTTTCCAAATGTCCACTTGCAGATTCCACCAAAAGAGTGTTTCGAAACTGCTCAATCAAAAGAAAGGTTCTACTCTGTGGGATGAATGCACACATCACAAAGTAGTTTCTCAGAATGCTTCTGTGTAGTTTTTATGTGAAGATATTTGTTTTTCCACAGTAGGCCCCAAAGAGCTCCAAATATTCACTTGCAGATTCTACAAAAAGAGTGTTCCAAAACTGCTCAATCATGAAATAGGATCAACCCTGTGAGATGAATGTACGTATGACAGAGAAGTTTCTCAGAATGCTTCTGTGTAGTTTTTATGCGAAGATATTCGATTTTCCACAGTACGCCTCAAAGTTCTCCAATTATCCATTCGTAGATTCTGCAAAAAGAGAGACTCAAAACTGCTCAATCAAAAGATAGTTTCTACTCCATTAGCTGAAAGACCACATCACAAAAAAAGTTTCTCAGGATGCTTCTGTGTAGTTTTTATGTGAAGATATTTGGTTTTCCACAGTAGGCCTCAAAGCGCTCCAAATATCCACTCACAGATTCTGCAAAAAGAGAGATTCAAAACTGCTGAATCAAAAGACAGTTTCAACTCTGTGACTTCAGTGCACACCTCACAAGGATGTTTCTCAGAATGCTTCTGTGTAGTTTTCATATAAAGATATCTCCTTCTCCAAAATGGATCTCAAAGTTCTCCAAATATTCACTTCCAGATTCTATGGAAAGATTGTCTCAAAACTGCTCAATCAAACCAAAGGTTCAACTCTGTGAGATGAATGCCCACATCACAAAGAAGTTTCTCAGAGTACTTCTGTGTAGTTTCTATTTGAGGATAGTTCCTTTTCCACCACAGACCAGAAAGGGCTCCAAATATCCATTGCAGATGGTACAAAAAGTGAGATTCAAAACTGCTCAATCCAAAGGTAGTTTCAACCATGTGATATGAATGCACACAGCACAGAGAATTTTCTCAAAATGCGTCTGTCTAGTTTTTATTTGAAGATATTTCCTTTTCTACCATAGGCCACAAACGTCTCCATATATCCACATGCAGCTTCTACAAAAAGAGAGATTCAAAACTTCTCAATCAAAAGATAGGTTCAACTCTGTGAGTTGAAAGCACACCTCACAAAGAAGTTTCTCAGAGTGCTTCTGTGTGTTTTTATGTGAAGATATTTCCTTTTCCACAATAGGCCTCAAAGCTCTCCAAATATCTGCGAGCAGAGTCTACAAAATGAGAGATTCAAAACTGCTCAATGAAAAGATAGGTTCAACTCTGTGAGTTGAATGCACACCTCCAAAGAAGTTTCTCAGAATGCTTCCGTGTAGTTTTTATGTGAAGATATTTACTTTTCCACAGTTGTCCCAAAGCTCTAAAATATCCACTTGCAGACCCTCCAAAAGAGTGTTTCAGAATTGCTCAATCAAGTGGAAGGTTCAATTCTGTGTGACCAATGCACTCATCACAAAGAAGTTTGTCTGAATGCTTCTGTGTAGAATTGATTTGAAGATAATTCCTTTTCCACCACAGTCCGCAAAGGGCTAAAAATATCCACTTGCCGATTCCACAAAAAGAGAGATTCAAAACTGCTCAATCACAAGATAGGTTCAACTTGGTAATTGGAAAGCACACATGACAAACAATTTCTGAGAATGTTTCTGTGTAGTTTTTAAGGGAAGATATTTGATTTTCAAATGTAGGCCTCAAATCGCTCCAAATATCCACTTGCATATTGTACAAAAAGAGAGATTCAAAACTGGTCACTCAAAAGTTAGGTCCAGCTCTGTGAGCTGAATGCACACATCACAAAGATGTTTCTCAGAAGGTTTCTGTATAGTTTCTATATGAAGATATTTGCTTTTCCACAATATGCCTCAAATCTCCCCAATTATCCACTTGCAGATTCTAGAAAAAGAGTGTTTCAAAACAGCTCAATCCAAATAAACTTTCAACTCTGTGAGATCAATGCACACATCACAAAGAAGTTTCTCAGAATGCTTCTGTGTAGTTTTTTTGTGAAGATATTTGATTTTCCACAGCAGGCTTCCAAGCACTCCAAATATCCACTCGCAGATTCTGCAAAAAGAGAGATTCAAATCTGCTGAATCAAAAGATAGGTTTAACTCTGTGACTTCAATGCACACCTCACAAGGGTGTTTCTCAGAAAGCTTCTGTGTAGTTTTTATATGAAGATATCTCCTTCTCCAAAGCAGGTCTCAAAGCCCTCCAAATATTCACTTCAAGATTCTACGGAAAGATTGTCTCAACACTGCTAAATCTAAACAAATGTTCAACTCTGTGTGATGAATGCACTCATCACAGAGAAGTTTCTCTGAATGCCTCTGTGTAGTTTTTATTTGAAGATATTTGCTTTTCCAGTATAGGGCGAAATAGGGCTCCAAATATTCACTTGCAGATTCTACAAAAGGAGAGATTCCAAACTGCTCAATCAAAACATAGGTTCAACACTGTGAGTTGAATGCACACATCACAAAGAAGTTTCACAGAGTGCTTCTGGGTAGTTTTTATTTGAGGATATTTCCCTTTCCACAATAGGCCTCAAAGCTTTCCAAATATCCACTTGCAGATTCTGCAAAAAGAGAGATACAAAACTGCTCTATCAAAAGATAGATTCGACTCTGTGAGTTGAATGCCAACATCGCAAAGAAGTTTCTCAGAATGCTTCTCTGCAGCTTTTTTGTGAGTATGTTTCGTTTTCCACCATAGGGCGAAATGGGGCTCCAAATATCCACTTGCATTTCCTACAAAAAGAGAGATTCTAAGCTGCTCAATCAAAACATTGTTTCAACACGGTTAGTTGAATGCACACATCCCAAAGATGTTTTTCAGAGTGCTTCTGTGTGGTTTTTATGTGAAGATACTTCCTTTTCCACAATAGGCCTCAAATCTCTGTAAATATCCACTTGCAGACTCTACAAAGAGTGTTTCCAAACTGCTCAATCATAAGATAGGTTCAACTCCGATAGTTGAATGCACACATCACAAAGAAGTTTCTCGGAAAGCTTCTGTGTAGTTTTTGATGAAGATATCTTCTTCTCTAAAACAGAACTCCAAGCCCTCCAAATATTCACTTCAAGATTCTACGGAAAGATTGTCTCAAATCTCCTAAATCAAAACAAAGTTTCAACTCTGTGTCATGAATGCATTCATCTCAAAGAAGTTTCTCTGAATGCTTCTGTGCAGTTTTTATTTGAAGATAATTGCTTTTCCAGTATAGGGCGAAATAGGGCTCCAAATATTCACTTGCAGATTCTACAGAAAGAGAGATTCCAAACTGCTCAATCAAAACATAGGTTCAACACTGTGAGTTGAATGCATACATCGCAAAGAAGTTTCACAGAGTACTTCTGGGTGGTTTTTATTTGAAGATATTTCCCTTTCCACAATAGGCCTCAAAGCTTTCCAAATGTCCACTTGCAGATTCCACCAAAAGAGTGTTTCGAAACTGCTCAATCAAAAGTAAGTTTCTACTCTGTGGGATGAATGCACACATCACAAAGTAGTTTCTCAGAATGCTTCTGTGTAGTTTTTATGTGAAGATATTTGTTTTTCCACAGTAGGCCCCAAAGAGCTCCAAATATTCACTTGCAGATTCTACAAAAAGAGTGTTCCAAAACTGCTCAATCATGAAATAGGATCAACCTTGTGAGACGAATGTACGTATGACAGAGAAGTTTCTCAGAATGCTTCTGTGTAGTTTTTATGCGAAGATATTCGATTTTCCACAGTACGCCTCAAAGTTCTCCAATTATCCACTCGTAGATCCCGCAAAAAGAGAGATTCAAAACTGCTCAATCAAAAGATAGTTTCTACTCCATTAGCTGAAAGACCACATCACAAAAAAAGTTTCTCAGGATGCTTCTGTGTAGTTTTTATGTGAAGATATTTGGTTTTCCACAGTAGGCCTCAAAGCGCTCCAAATATCCACTCACAGATTCTGCAAAAAGAGAGATTCAAAACTGCTGAATCAAAAGACAGTTTCAACTCTGTGACTTCAGTGCACACCTCACAAGGATGTTTCTCAGAATGCTTCTGTGTGGTTTCATATAAAGATATCTCCTTCTCCAAAATGGATCTCAAAGTTCTCCAAATATTCACTTCCAGATTCTATGGAAAGATTGTCTCAAAACTGCTCAATCAAACCAAAGGTTCAACTCTGTGAGATGAATGCCCACATCACAAAGAAGTTTCTCAGAGTACTTCTGTGTAGTTTCTATTTGAGGATAGTTCCTTTTCCACCACAGACCAGAAAGGGCTCCAAATATCCATTGCAGATGGTACAAAAAGTGAGATTCAAAACTGCTCAATCCAAAGGTAGTTTCAACCATGTGATATGAATGCACACAGCACAGAGAATTTTCTCAAAATGCGTCTGTCTAGTTTTTATTTGAAGATATTTCCTTTTCTACCATAGGCCACAAACGTCTCCAAATATCCACATGCAGCTTCTACAAAAAGAGAGATTCAAAACTTCTCAATCAAAAGATAGGTTCAACTCTGTGAGTTGAAAGCACACCTCACAAAGAAGTTTCTCAGAGTGCTTCTGTGTGTTTTTATGATGTGAAGATATTTCCTTTTCCACAATAGGCCTCAAAGCTCTCCAAATATCTGCGAGCAGAGTCTACAAAATGAGAGATTCAAAACTGCTCAATGAAAAGATAGGTTCAACTCTGTGAGTTGAATGCACACCTCCAAAGAAGTTTCTCAGAATGCTTCCGTGTAGTTTTTATGTGAAGATATTTACTTTTCCACAGTTGTCCCAAAGCTCTAAAATATCCACTTGCAGACCCTCCAAAAGAGTGTTTCAGAATTGCTCAATCAAAGGGAAGGTTCAATTCTGTGTGACCAATGCACTCATCACAAAGAAGTTTGTCTGAATGCTTCTGTGTAGAATTGATTTGAAGATAATTCCTTTTCCACCACAGTCCGCAAAGGGCTAAAAATATCCACTTGCCGATTCCACAAAAAGAGAGATTCAAAACTGCTCAATCACAAGATAGGTTCAACTTGGTAATTGGAAAGCACACATGACAAACAATTTCTGAGAATGTTTCTGTGTAGTTTTTAAGGGAAGATATTTGATTTTCAAATGTAGGCCTCAAATCGCTCCAAATATCCACTTGCATATTGTACAAAAAGAGAGATTCAAAACTGGTCACTCAAAAGTTAGGTCCAGCTCTGTGAGCTGAATGCACACATCACAAAGATGTTTCTCAGAAGGTTTCTGTATAGTTTCTATATGAAGATATTTGCTTTTCCACAATATGCCTCAAATCTCCCCAATTATCCACTTGCAGATTCTAGAAAAAGAGTGTTTCAAAACAGCTCAATCAAAATAAACTTTCAACTCTGTGAGATCAATGCACACATCACAAAGAAGTTTCTCAGAATGCTTCTGTGTAGTTTTTTTTGTGAAGATATTTGATTTTCCACAGCAGGCTTCCAAGCACTCCAAATATCCACTCGCAGATTCTGCAAAAAGAGAGATTCAAATCTGCTGAATCAAAAGATAGGTTTAACTCTGTGACTTCAATGCACACCTCACAAGGGTGTTTCTCAGAAAGCTTCTGTGTAGTTTTTATATGAAGATATCTCCTTCTCCAAAGCAGGTCTCAAAGCCCTCCAAATATTCACTTCAAGATTCTACGGAAAGATTGTCTCAACACTGCTAAATCTAAACAAATGTTCAACTCTGTGTGATGAATGCACTCATCACAGAGAAGTTTCTCTGAATGCCTCTGTGTAGTTTTTATTTGAAGATATTTGCTTTTCCAGTATAGGGCGAAATAGGGCTCCAAATATTCACTTGCAGATTCTACAAAAGGAGAGATTCCAAACTGCTCAATCAAAACATAGGTTCAACACTGTGAGTTGAATGCACACATCACAAAGAAGTTTCACAGAGTGCTTCTGGGTAGTTTTTATTTGAGGATATTTCCCTTTCCACAATAGGCCTCAAAGCTTTCCAAATATCCACTTGCAGATTCTACAAAAAGAGAGATACAAAACTGCTCTATCAAAAGATAGATTCGACTCTGTGAGTTGAATGCCAACATCGCAAAGAAGTTTCTCAGAATGCTTCTCTGCAGCTTTTTTGTGAGTATGTTTCGTTTTCCACCATAGGGCGAAATGGGGCTCCAAATATCCACTTGCATTTCCTACAAAAAGAGAGATTCTAAGCTGCTCAATCAAAACATTGTTTCAACACGGTTAGTTGAATGCACACATCCCAAAGATGTTTTTCAGAGTGCTTCTGTGTGGTTTTTATGTGAAGATACTTCCTTTTCCACAATAGGCCTCAAATCTCTGTAAATATCCACTTGCAGACTCTACAAAGAGTGTTTCCAAACTCCTCAATCATAAGATAGGTTCAACTCCGATAGTTGAATGCACACATCACAAAGAAGTTTCTCAGAAAGCTTCTTTGTAGTTTTTGATGAAGATATCTTCTTCTCTAAAACAGAACTCCAAGCCCTCCAAATATTCACTTCAAGATTCTACGGAAAGATTGTCTCAAACTGCTAAATCAAAACAAAGGTTCAACTCTGTGTGATGAATGCATTCATCACAAAGAAGTTTCTCTGAGTGCTTCTGTGCAGTTTTTATTTGAAGATAATTGCTTTTCCAGTATAGGGCGAAATAGGGCTCCAAATATTCACTTGCAGATTCTACAGAAAGAGAGATTCCAAACTGCTCAATCAAAACATAGGTTCAACACTGTGAGTTGAATGCATACATCGCAAAGAAGTTTCACAGAGTACTTCTGGGTGGTTTTTATTTGAAGATATTTCCCTTTCCACAATAGGCCTCAAAGCTTTCCAAATGTCCACTTGCAGATTCCACCAAAAGAGTGTTTCGAAACTGCTCAATCAAAAGAAAGGTTCTACTCTGTGGGATGAATGCACACATCACAAAGTAGTTTCTCAGAATGCTTCTGTGTAGTTTTTATGTGAAGATATTTGTTTTTCCACAGTAGGCCCCAAAGAGCTCCAAATATTCACTTGCAGATTCTACAAAAAGAGTGTTCCAAAACTGCTCAATCATGAAATAGGATCAACCCTGTGAGATGAGTGTACGTATGACAGAGAAGTTTCTCAGAATGCTTCTGTGTAGTTTTTATGCGAAGATATTCGATTTTCCAAAGTACGCCTCAAAGTTCTCCAATTATCCACTCGTAGATTCTGCAAAAAGAGAGATTCAAAACTGCTCAATCAAAAGATAGTTTCTACTCCATTAGCTGAAAGACCACATCACAAAAAAAGTTTCTCAGGATGCTTCTGTGTAGTTTTTATGTGAAGATATTTGGTTTTCCACAGTAGGCCTCAAAGCGCTCCAAATATCCACTCACAGATTCTGCAAAAAGAGAGATTCAAAACTGCTGAATCAAAAGACAGTTTCAACTCTGTGACTTCAGTGCACACCTCACAAGGATGTTTCTCAGAATGCTTCTGTGTAGTTTTTATATAAAGATATCTCTTCTCCAAAATGGATCTCAAAGTTCTCCAAATATTCACTTCCAGATTCTATGGAAAGATTGTCTCAAAACTGCTCAATCAAACCAAAGGTTCAACTCTGTGAGATGAATGCCCACATCACAAAGAAGTTTCTCAGAGTACTTCTGTGTAGTTTCTATTTGAGGATAGTTCCTTTTCCACCACAGACCAGAAAGGGCTCCAAATATCCATTGCAGATGGTACAAAAAGTGAGATTCAAAACTGCTCAATCCAAAGGTAGTTTCAACCATGTGATATGAATGCACACAGCACAGAGAATTTTCTCAAAATGCGTCTGTCTAGTTTTTATTTGAAGATATTTCCTTTTCTACCATAGGCCACAAACGTCTCCAAATATCCACATGCAGCTTCTACAAAAAGAGAGATTCAAAACTTCTCAATCAAAAGATAGGTTCAACTCTGTGAGTTGAAAGCACACCTCACAAAGAAGTTTCTCAGAGTGCTTCCTGTGTGTTTTTATGTGAAGATATTTCCTTTTCCACAATAGGCCTCAAAGCTCTCCAAATATCTGCGAGCAGAGTCTACAAAATGAGAGATTCAAAACTGCTCAATGAAAAGATAGGTTCAACTCTGTGAGTTGAATGCACACCTCCAAAGAAGTTTCTCAGAATGCTTCCGTGTAGTTTTTATGTGAAGATATTTACTTTTCCACAGTTGTCCCAAAGCTCTAAAATATCCACTTGCAGACCCTCCAAAAGAGTGTTTCAGAATTGCTCAATCAAAGGGAAGGTTCAATTCTGTGTGACCAATGCACTCATCACAAAGAAGTTTGTCTGAATGCTTCTGTGTAGAATTGATTTGAAGATAATTCCTTTTCCACCACAGTCCGCAAAGGGCTAAAAATATCCACTTGCCGATTCCACAAAAAGAGAGATTCAAAACTGCTCAATCACAAGATAGGTTCAACTTGGTAATTGGAAAGCACACATGACAAACAATTTCTGAGAATGTTTCTGTGTAGTTTTTAAGGGAAGATATTTGATTTTCAAATGTAGGCCTCAAATCGCTCCAAATATCCACTTGCATATTGTACAAAAAGAGAGATTCAAAACTGGTCACTCAAAAGTTAGGTCCAGCTCTGTGAGCTGAATGCACACATCACAAAGATGTTTCTCAGAAGGTTTCTGTATAGTTTTTATATGAAGATATTTGCTTTTCCACAATATGCCTCAAATCTCCCCAATTATCCACTTGCAGATTCTAGAAAAAGAGTGTTTCAAAACAGCTCAATCAAAATAAACTTTCAACTCTGTGAGATCAATGCACACATCACAAAGAAGTTTCTCAGAATGCTTCTGTGTAGTTTTTTTTGTGAAGATATTTGATTTTCCACAGCAGGCTTCCAAGCACTCCAAATATCCACTCGCAGATTCTGCAAAAAGAGAGATTCAAATCTGCTGAATCAAAAGATAGGTTTAACTCTGTGACTTCAATGCACACCTCACAAGGGTGTTTCTCAGAAAGCTTCTGTGTAGTTTTTATATGAAGATATCTCCTTCTCCAAAGCAGGTCTCAAAGCCCTCCAAATATTCACTTCAAGATTCTACGGAAAGATTGTCTCAACACTGCTAAATCTAAACAAATGTTCAACTCTGTGTGATGAATGCACTCATCACAGAGAAGTTTCTCTGAATGCCTCTGTGTAGTTTTTATTTGAAGATATTTGCTTTTCCAGTATAGGGCGAAATAGGGCTCCAAATATTCACTTGCAGATTCTACAAAAGGAGAGATTCCAAACTGCTCAATCAAAACATAGGTTCAACACTGTGAGTTGAATGCACACATCACAAAGAAGTTTCACAGAGTGCTTCTGGGTAGTTTTTATTTGAGGATATTTCCCTTTCCACAATAGGCCTCAAAGCTTTCCAAATATCCACTTGCAGATTCTGCAAAAAGAGAGATACAAAACTGCTCTATCAAAAGATAGATTCGACTCTGTGAGTTGAATGCCAACATCGCAAAGAAGTTTCTCAGAATGCTTCTCTGCAGCTTTTTTGTGAGTATGTTTCGTTTTCCACCATAGGGCGAAATGGGGCTCCAAATATCCACTTGCATTTCCTACAAAAAGAGAGATTCTAAGCTGCTCAATCAAAACATTGTTTCAACACGGTTAGTTGAATGCACACATCCCAAAGATGTTTTTCAGAGTGCTTCTGTGTGGTTTTTATGTGAAGATACTTCCTTTTCCACAATAGGCCTCAAATCTCTGTAAATATCCACTTGCAGACTCTACAAAGAGTGTTTCCAAACTGCTCAATCATAAGATAGGTTCAACTCCGATAGTTGAATGCACACATCACAAAGAAGTTTCTCGGAAAGCTTCTGTGTAGTTTTTGATGAAGATATCTCCTTCTCTAAAACAGAACTCCAAGCCCTCCAAATATTCACTTCAAGATTCTACGGAAAGATTGTCTCAAACTGCTAAATCAAAACAAAGGTTCAACTCTGTGTGATGAATGCATTCATCACAAAGAAGTTTCTCTGAGTGCTTCTGTGCAGTTTTTATTTGAAGATAATTGCTTTTCCAGTATAGGGCGAAATAGGGCTCCAAATATTCACTTGCAGATTCTACAGAAAGAGAGATTCCAAACTGCTCAATCAAAACATAGGTTCAACACTGTGAGTTGAATGCATACATCGCAAAGAAGTTTCACAGAGTACTTCTGGGTGGTTTTTATTTGAAGATATTTCCCTTTCCACAATAGGCCTCAAAGCTTTCCAAATGTCCACTTGCAGATTCCACCAAAAGAGGGTTTCGAAACTGCTCAATCAAAAGAAAGGTTCTACTCTGTGGGATGAATGCACACATCACAAAGTAGTTTCTCAGAATGCTTCTGTGTAGTTTTTATGTGAAGATATTTGTTTTTCCACAGTAGGCCCCAAAGAGCTCCAAATATTCACTTGCAGATTCTACAAAAAGAGTGTTCCAAAACTGCTCAATCATGAAATAGGATCAACCCTGTGAGATGAATGTACGTATGACAGAGAAGTTTCTCAGAATGCTTCTGTGTAGTTTTTATGCGAAGATATTCGACTTTCCACAGTACGCCTCAAAGTTCTCCAATTAGCCACTCGTAGATCCTGCAAAAAGAGAGATTCAAAACTGCTCAATCAAAAGATAGTTTCTACTCCATTAGCTGAAAGACCACATCACAAAAAAAGTTTCTCAGGATGCTTCTGTGTAGTTTTTATGTGAAGATATTTGGTTTTCCACAGTAGGCCTCAAAGCGCTCCAAATATCCACTCACAGATTCTGCAAAAAGAGAGATTCAAAACTGCTGAATCAAAAGACAGTTTCAACTCTGTGACTTCAGTGCACACCTCACAAGGATGTTTCTCAGAATGCTTCTGTGTGGTTTTTATATAAAGATATCTCCTTCTCCAAAATGGATCTCAAAGTTCTCCAAATATTCACTTCCAGATTCTATGGAAAGATTGTCTCAAAACTGCTCAATCAAACCAAAGGTTCAACTCTGTGAGATGAATGCCCACATCACAAAGAAGTTTCTCAGAGTACTTCTGTGTAGTTTCTATTTGAGGATAGTTCCTTTTCCACCACAGACCAGAAAGGGCTCCAAATATCCATTGCAGATGGTACAAAAAGTGAGATTCAAAACTGCTCAATCCAAAGGTAGTTTCAACCATGTGATATGAATGCACACAGCACAGAGAATTTTCTCAAAATGCGTCTGTCTAGTTTTTATTTGAAGATATTTCCTTTTCTACCATAGGCCACAAACGTCTCCAAATATCCACATGCAGCTTCTACAAAAAGAGAGATTCAAAACTTCTCAATCAAAAGATAGGTTCAACTCTGTGAGTTGAAAGCACACCTCACAGAGAAGTTTCTCAGAGTGCTTCTGTGTGTTTTTATGTGAAGATATTTCCTTTTCCACAATAGGCCTCAAAGCTCTCCAAATATCTGCGAGCAGAGTCTACAAAATGAGAGATTCAAAACTGCTCAATGAAAAGATAGGTTCAACTCTGTGAGTTGAATGCACACCTCCAAAGAAGTTTCTCAGAATGCTTCCGTGTAGTTTTTATGTGAAGATATTTACTTTTCCACAGTTGTCCCAAAGCTCTAAAATGTCCACTTGCAGACCCTCCAAAAGAGTGTTTCAGAATTGCTCAATCAAAGGGAAGGTTCAATTCTGTGTGACCAATGCACTCATCACAAAGAAGTTTGTCTGAATGCTTCTGTGTAGAATTGATTTGAAGATAATTCCTTTTCCACCACAGTCCGCAAAGGGCTAAAAATATCCACTTGCCGATTCCACAAAAAGAGAGATTCAAAACTGCTCAATCACAAGATAGGTTCAACTTGGTAATTGGAAAGCACACATGACAAACAATTTCTGAGAATGTTTCTGTGTAGTTTTTAAGGGAAGATATTTGATTTTCAAATGTAGGCCTCAAATCGCTCCAAATATCCACTTGCATATTGTACAAAAAGAGAGATTCAAAACTGGTCACTCAAAAGTTAGGTCCAGCTCTGTGAGCTGAATGCACACATCACAAAGATGTTTCTCAGAAGGTTTCTGTATAGTTTCTATATGAAGATATTTGCTTTTCCACAATATGCCTCAAATCTCCCAATTATCCACTTGCAGATTCTAGAAAAAGAGTGTTTCAAAACAGCTCAATCCAAATAAACTTTCAACCCTGTGAGATCAATGCACACATCACAAAGAAGTTTCTCAGAATGCTTCTGTGTAGTTTTTTTTGTGAAGATATTTGATTTTCCACAGCAGGCTTCCAAGCACTCCAAATATCCACTCGCAGATTCTGCAAAAAGAGAGATTCAAATCTGCTGAATCAAAAGATAGGTTTAACTCTGTGACTTCAATGCACACCTCACAAGGGTGTTTCTCAGAAAGCTTCTGTGTAGTTTTTATATGAAGATATCTCCTTCTCCAAAGCAGGTCTCAAAGCCCTCCAAATATTCACTTCAAGATTCTACGGAAAGATTGTCTCAACACTGCTAAATCTAAACAAATGTTCAACTCTGTGTGATGAATGCACTCATCACAGAGAAGTTTCTCTGAATGCCTCTGTGTAGTTTTTATTTGAAGATATTTGCTTTTCCAGTATAGGGCGAAATAGGGCTCCAAATATTCACTTGCAGATTCTACAAAAGGAGAGATTCCAAACTGCTCAATCAAAACATAGGTTCAACACTGTGAGTTGAATGCACACATCACAAAGAAGTTTCACAGAGTGCTTCTGGGTAGTTTTTATTTGAGGATATTTCCCTTTCCACAATAGGCCTCAAAGCTTTCCAAATATCCACTTGCAGATTCTGCAAAAAGAGAGATACAAAACTGCTCTATCAAAAGATAGATTCGACTCTGTGAGTTGAATGCCAACATCGCAAAGAAGTTTCTCAGAATGCTTCTCTGCAGCTTTTTTGTGAGTATGTTTCGTTTTCCACCATAGGGCGAAATGGGGCTCCAAATATCCACTTGCATTTCCTACAAAAGGAGAGATTCTAAGCTGCTCAATCAAAACATTGTTTCAACACGGTTAGTTGAATGCACACATCCCAAAGATGTTTTTCAGAGTGCTTCTGTGTGGTTTTTATGTGAAGATACTTCCTTTTCCACAATAGGCCTCAAATCTCTGTAAATATCCACTTGCAGACTCTACAAAGAGTGTTTCCAAACTGCTCAATCATAAGATAGGTTCAACTCCGATAGTTGAATGCACACATCACAAAGAAGTTTCTCAGAAAGCTTCTGTGTAGTTTTTGATGAAGATATCTCCTTCTCTAAAACAGAACTCCAAGCCCTCCAAATATTCACTTCAAGATTCTACGGAAAGATTGTCTCAAAACTCCTAAATCAAAACAAAGTTTCAACTCTGTGTCATGAATGCATTCATCTCAAAGAAGTTTCTCTGAATGCTTCTGTGCAGTTTTTATTTGAAGATAATTGCTTTTCCAGTATAGGGCGAAATAGGGCTCCAAATATTCACTTGCAGATTCTACAGAAAGAGAGATTCCAAACTGCTCAATCAAAACATAGGTTCAACACTGTGAGTTGAATGCATACATCGCAAAGAAGTTTCACAGAGTACTTCTGGGTGGTTTTTATTTGAAGATATTTCCCTTTCCACAATAGGCCTCAAAGCTTTCCAAATGTCCACTTGCAGATTCCACCAAAAGAGTGTTTCGAAACTGCTCAATCAAAAGAAAGGTTCTACTCTGTGGGATGAATGCACACATCACAAAGTAGTTTCTCAGAATGCTTCTGTGTAGTTTTTATGTGAAGATATTTGTTTTTCCACTGTAGGCCCCAAAGAGCTCCAAATATTCACTTGCAGATTCTACAAAAAGAGTGTTCCAAAACTGCTCAATCATGAAATAGGATCAACCCTGTGAGATGAATGTACGTATGACAGAGAAGTTTCTCAGAATGCTTCTGTGTAGTTTTTATGCGAAGATATTCGATTTTCCACAGTACGCCTCAAAGTTCTCCAATTATCCATTCGTAGATTCTGCAAAAAGAGAGACTCAAAACTGCTCAATCAAAAGATAGTTTCTACTCCATTAGCTGAAAGACCACATCACAAAAAAAGTTTCTCAGGATGCTTCTGTGTAGTTTTTATGTGAAGATATTTGGTTTTCCACAGTAGGCCTCAAAGCGCTCCAAATATCCACTCACAGATTCTGCAAAAAGAGAGATTCAAAACTGCTGAATCAAAAGACAGTTTCAACTCTGTGACTTCAGTGCACACCTCACAAGGATGTTTCTCAGAATGCTTCTGTGTAGTTTTCATATAAAGGTATCTCCTTCTCCAAAATGGATCTCAAAGTTCTCCAAATATTCACTTCCAGATTCTATGGAAAGATTGTCTCAAAACTGCTCAATCAAACCAAAGGTTCAACTCTGTGAGATGAATGCCCACATCACAAAGAAGTTTCTCAGAGTACTTCTGTGTAGTTTCTATTTGAGGATAGTTCCTTTTCCACCACAGACCAGAAAGAGCTCCAAATATCCATTGCAGATGGTACAAAAAGTGAGATTCAAAACTGCTCAATCCAAAGGTAGTTTCAACCATGTGATATGAATGCACACAGCACAGAGAATTTTCTCAAAATGCGTCTGTCTAGTTTTTATTTGAAGATATTTCCTTTTCTACCATAGGCCACAAACGTCTCCAAATATCCACATGCAGCTTCTACAAAAAGAGAGATTCAAAACTTCTCAATCAAAAGATAGGTTCAACTCTGTGAGTTGAAAGCACACCTCACAGAGAAGTTTCTCAGAGTGCTTCTGTGTGTTTTTATGTGAAGATATTTCCTTTTCCACAATAGGCCTCAAAGCTCTCCAAATATCTGCGAGCAGAGTCTACAAAATGAGAGATTCAAAACTGCTCAATGAAAAGATAGGTTCAACTCTGTGAGTTGAATGCACACCTCCAAAGAAGTTTCTCAGAATGCTTCCGTGTAGTTTTTATGTGAAGATATTTACTTTTCCACAGTTGTCCCAAAGCTCTAAAATGTCCACTTGCAGACCCTCCAAAAGAGTGTTTCAGAATTGCTCAATCAAAGGGAAGGTTCAATTCTGTGTGACCAATGCACTCATCACAAAGAAGTTTGTCTGAATGCTTCTGTGTAGAATTGATTTGAAGATAATTCCTTTTCCACCACAGTCCGCAAAGGGCTAAAAATATCCACTTGCCGATTCCACAAAAAGAGAGATTCAAAACTGCTCAATCACAAGATAGGTTCAACTTGGTAATTGGAAAGCACACATGACAAACAGTTTCTGAGAATGTTTCTGTGTAGTTTTTAAGGGAAGATATTTGATTTTCAAATGTAGGCCTCAAATCGCTCCAAATATCCACTTGCATATTGTACAAAAAGAGAGATTCAAAACTGGTCACTCAAAAGTTAGGTCCAGCTCTGTGAGCTGAATGCACACATCACAAAGATGTTTCTCAGAAGGTTTCTGTATAGTTTCTATATGAAGATATTTGCTTTTCCACAATATGCCTCAAATCTCCCCAATTATCCACTTGCAGATTCTAGAAAAAGAGTGTTTCAAAACAGCTCAATCAAAATAAACTTTCAACTCTGTGAGATCAATGCACACATCACAAAGAAGTTTCTCAGAATGCTTCTGTGTAGTTTTTTTTGTGAAGATATTTGATTTTCCACAGCAGGCTTCCAAGCACTCCAAATATCCACTCGCAGATTCTGCAAAAAGAGAGATTCAAACTGCTGAATCAAAAGATAGGTTTAACTCTGTGACTTCAATGCACACCTCACAAGGGTGTTTCTCAGAAAGCTTCTGTGTAGTTTTTATATGAAGATATCTCCTTCTCCAAAGCAGGTCTCAAAGCCCTCCAAATATTCACTTCAAGATTCTACGGAAAGATTGTCTCAACACTGCTAAATCTAAACAAATGTTCAACTCTGTGTGATGAATGCACTCATCACAGAGAAGTTTCTCTGAATGCCTCTGTGTAGTTTTCATTTGAAGATATTTGCTTTTCCAGTATAGGGCGAAATAGGGCTCCAAATATTCACTTGCAGATTCTACAAAAGGAGAGATTCCAAACTGCTCAATCAAAACATAGGTTCAACACTGTGAGTTGAATGCACACATCACAAAGAAGTTTCACAGAGTGCTTCTGGGTAGTTTTTATTTGAGGATATTTCCCTTTCCACAATAGGCCTCAAAGCTTTCCAAATATCCACTTGCAGATTCTGCAAAAAGAGAGATACAAAACTGCTCTATCAAAAGATAGATTCGACTCTGTGAGTTGAATGCCAACATCGCAAAGAAGTTTCTCAGAATGCTTCTCTGCAGCTTTTTTGTGAGTATGTTTCGTTTTCCACCATAGGGAGAAATGGGGCTCCAAATATCCACTTGCATTTCCTACAAAAAGAGAGATTCTAAGCTGCTCAATCAAAACATTGTTTCAACACGGTTAGTTGAATGCACACATCCCAAAGATGTTTTTCAGAGTGCTTCTGTGTGGTTTTTATGTGAAGATACTTCCTTTTCCACAATAGGCCTCAAATCTCTGTAAATATCCACTTGCAGACTCCACAAAGAGTGTTTCCAAACTGCTCAATCATAAGATAGGTTCAACTCCGATAGTTGAATGCACACATCACAAAGAAGTTTCTCGGAAAGCTTCTGTGTAGTTTTTGATGAAGATATCTTCTTCTCTAAAACAGAACTCCAAGCCCTCCAAATATTCACTTCAAGATTCTACGGAAAGATTGTCTCAAACTGCTAAATCAAAACAAAGGTTCAACTCTGTGTGATGAATGCATTCATCACAAAGAAGTTTCTCTGAGTGCTTCTGTGCAGTTTTTATTTGAAGATAATTGCTTTTCCAGTATAGGGCGAAATAGGGCTCCAAATATTCACTTGCAGATTCTACAGAAAGAGAGATTCCAAACTGCTCAATCAAAACATAGGTTCAACACTGTGAGTTGAATGCATACATCGCAAAGAAGTTTCACAGAGTACTTCTGGGTGGTTTTTATTTGAAGATATTTCCCTTTCCACAATAGGCCTCAAAGCTTTCCAAATGTCCACTTGCAGATTCCACCAAAAGAGTGTTTCGAAACTGCTCAATCAAAAGAAAGGTTCTACTCTGTGGGATGAATGCACACATCACAAAGTAGTTTCTCAGAATGCTTCTGTGTAGTTTTTATGTGAAGATATTTGTTTTTCCACAGCAGGCCCCAAAGAGCTCCAAATATTCACTTGCAGATTCTACAAAAAGAGTGTTCCAAAACTGCTCAATCATGAAATAGGATCAACCCTGTGAGATGAATGTACGTATGACAGAGAAGTTTCTCAGAATGCTTCTGTGTAGTTTTTATGCGAAGATATTCGATTTTCCACAGTACGCCTCAAAGTTCTCCAATTATCCACTCGTAGATTCTGCAAAAAGAGAGATTCAAAACTGCTCAATCAAAAGATAGTTTCTACTCCATTAGCTGAAAGACCACATCACAAAAAAAGTTTCTCAGGATGCTTCTGTGTAGTTTTTATGTGAAGATATTTGGTTTTCCACAGTAGGCCTCAAAGCGCTCCAAATATCCACTCACAGATTCTGCAAAAAGAGAGATTCAAAACTGCTGAATCAAAAGACAGTTTCAACTCTGTGACTTCAGTGCACACCTCACAAGGATGTTTCTCAGCATGCTTCTGTGTAGTTTTTATATAAAGATATCTCCTTCTCCAAAATGGATCTCAAAGTTCTCCAAATATTCACTTCCAGATTCTATGGAAAGATTGTCTCAAAACTGCTCAATCAAACCAAAGGTTCAACTCTGTGAGATGAATGCCCACATCACAAAGAAGTTTCTCAGAGTACTTCTGTGTAGTTTCTATTTGAGGATAGTTCCTTTTCCACCACAGACCAGAAAGGGCTCCAAATATCCATTGCAGATGGTACAAAAAGTGAGATTCAAAACTGCTCAATCCAAAGGTAGTTTCAACCAGGTGATATGAATGCACACAGCACAGAGAATTTTCTCAAAATGCGTCTGTCTAGTTTTTATTTGAAGATATTTCCTTTTCTACCATAGGCCACAAACGTCTCCAAATATCCACATGCAGCTTCTACAAAAAGAGAGATTCAAAACTTCTCAATCAAAAGATAGGTTCAACTCTGTGAGTTGAAAGCACACCTCACAAAGCAGTTTCTCAGAGTGCTTCTGTGTGTTTTTATGTGAAGATATTTCCTTTTCCACAATAGGCCTCAAAGCTCTCCAAATATCTGCGAGCAGAGTCTACAAAATGAGAGATTCAAAACTGCTCAATGAAAAGATAGGTTCAACTCTGTGAGTTGAATGCACACCTCCAAAGAAGTTTCTCAGAATGCTTCCCGTGTAGTTTTTATGTGAAGATATTTACTTTTCCACAGTTGTCCCAAAGCTCTAAAATGTCCACTTGCAGACCCTCCAAAAGAGTGTTTCAGAATTGCTCAATCAAAGGGAAGGTTCAATTCTGTGTGACCAATGCACTCATCACAAAGAAGTTTGTCTGAATGCTTCTGTGTAGAATTGATTTGAAGATAATTCCTTTTCCACCACAGTCCGCAAAGGGCTAAAAATATCCACTTGCCGATTCCACAAAAAGAGAGATTCAAAACTGCTCAATCACAAGATAGGTTCAACTTGGTAATTGGAAAGCACACATGACAAACAATTTCTGAGAATGTTTCTGTGTAGTTTTTAAGGGAAGATATTTGATTTTCAAATGTAGGCCTCAAATCGCTCCAAATATCCACTTGCATATTGTACAAAAAGAGAGATTCAAAACTGGTCACTCAAAAGTTAGGTCCAGCTCTGTGAGCTGAATGCACACATCACAAAGATGTTTCTCAGAAGGTTTCTGTATAGTTTTTATATGAAGATATTTGCTTTTCCACAATATGCCTCAAATCTCCCCAATTATCCACTTGCAGATTCTAGAAAAAGAGTGTTTCAAAACAGCTCAATCCAAATAAACTTTCAACTCTGTGAGATCAATGCACACATCACAAAGAAGTTTCTCAGAATGCTTCTGTGTAGTTTTTTTTGTGAAGATATTTGATTTTCCACAGCAGGCTTCCAAGCACTCCAAATATCCACTCGCAGATTCTGCAAAAAGAGAGATTCAAATCTGCTGAATCAAAAGATAGGTTTAACTCTGTGACTTCAATGCACACCTCACAAGGGTGTTTCTCAGAAAGCTTCTGTGTAGTTTTTATATGAAGATATCTCTTCTCCAAAGCAGGTCTCAAAGCCCTCCAAATATTCACTTCAAGATTCTACGGAAAGATTGTCTCAACACTGCTAAATCTAAACAAATGTTCAACTCTGTGTGATGAATGCACTCATCACAGAGAAGTTTCTCTGAATGCCTCTGTGTAGTTTTTATTTGAAGATATTTGCTTTTCCAGTATAGGGCGAAATAGGGCTCCAAATATTCACTTGCAGATTCTACAAAAGGAGAGATTCCAAACTGCTCAATCAAAACATAGGTTCAACACTGTGAGTTGAATGCACACATCACAAAGAAGTTTCACAGAGTGCTTCTGGGTAGTTTCTATTTGAGGATATTTCCCTTTCCACAATAGGCCTCAAAGCTTTCCAAATATCCACTTGCAGATTCTGCAAAAAGAGAGATACAAAACTGC
Organism: Homo sapiens; assembly: GCF_000001405.40. Lineage (NCBI taxonomy): Eukaryota > Metazoa > Chordata > Mammalia > Primates > Hominidae > Homo > Homo sapiens. Next base: position 18,222,434 of record NC_000015.10, on the reverse strand, counting down.
TCTATCAAAAGATAGATTCGACTCTGTGAGTTGAATGCCAACATCGCAAAGAAGTTTCTCAGAATGCTTCTCTGCAGCTTTTTTGTGAGTATGTTTCGTTTTCCACCATAGGGCGAAATGGGGCTCCAAATATCCACTTGCATTTCCTACAAAAAGAGAGATTCTAAGCTGCTCAATCAAAACATTGTTTCAACACGGTTAGTTGAATGCACACATCCCAAAGATGTTTTTCAGAGTGCTTCTGTGTGGTTTTTATGTGAAGATACTTCCTTTTCCACAATAGGCCTCAAATCTCTGTAAATATCCACTTGCAGACTCTACAAAGAGTGTTTCCAAACTGCTCAATCATAAGATAGGTTCAACTCCGATAGTTGAATGCACACATCACAAAGAAGTTTCTCAGAAAGCTTCTGTGTAGTTTTTGATGAAGATATCTCCTTCTCTAAAACAGAACTCCAAGCCCTCCAAATATTCACTTCAAGATTCTACGGAAAGATTGTCTCAAAACTCCTAAATCAAAACAAAGTTTCAACTCTGTGTCATGAATGCATTCATCTCAAAGAACTTTCTCTGAATGCTTCTGTGCAGTTTTTATTTGAAGATAATTGCTTTTCCAGTATAGGGCGAAATAGGGCTCCAAATATTCACTTGCAGATTCTACAGAAAGAGAGATTCCAAACTGCTCAATCAAAACATAGGTTCAACACTGTGAGTTGAATGCATACATCGCAAAGAAGTTTCACAGAGTACTTCTGGGTGGTTTTTATTTGAAGATATTTCCCTTTCCACAATAGGCCTCAAAGCTTTCCAAATGTCCACTTGCAGATTCCACCAAAAGAGTGTTTCGAAACTGCTCAATCAAAAGAAAGGTTCTACTGCTGTGGGATGAATGCACACATCACAAAGTAGTTTCTCAGAATGCTTCTGTGTAGTTTTTATTTGAAGATATTTGCTTTTCCAGTATAGGGCGAAATAGGGCTCCAAATATTCACTTGCAGATTCTACAAAAGGAGAGATTCCAAACTGCTCAATCAAAACATAGGTTCAACACTGTGAGGTTGAATGCACACATCACAAAGAAGTTTCACAGAGTGCTTCTGTGTAGTTTTTATGCGAAGATATTCGATTTTCCACAGTACGCCTCAAAGTTCTCCAATTATCCACTCGTAGATTCTGCAAAAAGAGAGATTCAAAACTGCTCAATCAAAAGATAGTTTCTACTCCATTAGCTGAAAGACCACATCACAAAAAAAGTTTCTCAGGATGCTTCTGTGTAGTTTTTATGTGAAGATATTTGGTTTTCCACAGTAGGCCTCAAAGCGCTCCAAATATCCACTCACAGATTCTGCAAAAAGAGAGATTCAAAACTGCTGAATCAAAAGACAGTTTCAACTCTGTGACTTCAGTGCACACCTCACAAGGGATGTTTCTCAGAATGCTTCTGTGTAGTTTTTATATAAAGATATCTCCTTCTCCAAAATGGATCTCAAAGTTCCCCAAATATTCACTTCCAGATTCTATGGAAAGATTGTCTCAAAACTGCTCAATCAAACCAAAGGTTCAACTCTGTGAGATGAATGCACACATCACAAAGAAGTTTCTCAGAGTACTTCTGTGTAGTTTCTATTTGAGGATAGTTCCTTTTCCACCACAGACCAGAAAGGGCTCCAAATATCCATTGCAGATGGTACAAAAAGTGAGATTCAAAACTGCTCAATCCAAAGGTAGTTTCAACCATGTGATATGAATGCACACAGCACAGAGAATTTTCTCAAAATGCGTCTGTCTAGTTTTTATTTGAAGATATTTTCTTTTCTACCATAGGCCACAAACGTCTCCAAATATCCACATGCAGCTTCTACAAAAAGAGAGATTCAAAACTTCTCAATCAAAAGATAGGTTCAACTCTGTGAGTTGAAAGCACACCTCACAAAGAAGTTTCTCAGAGTGCTTCTGTGTGTTTTTATGTGAAGATATTTCCTTTTCCACAATAGGCCTCAAAGCTCTCCAAATATCTGCGAGCAGAGTCTACAAAATGAGAGATTCAAAACTGCTCAATGAAAAGATAGGTTCAACTCTGTGAGTTGAATGCACACCTCCAAAGAAGTTTCTCAGAATGCTTCCGTGTAGTTTTTATGTGAAGATATTTACTTTTCCACAGTTGTCCCAAAGCTCTAAAATATCCACTTGCAGACCCTCCAAAAGAGTGTTTCAGAATTGCTCAATCAAAGGGAAGGTTCAATTCTGTGTGACCAATGCACTCATCACAAAGGAGTTTGTCTGAATGCTTCTGTGTAGAATTGATTTGAAGATAATTCCTTTTCCACCACAGTCCGCAAAGGGCTAAAAATATCCACTTGCCGATTCCACAAAAAGAGAGATTCAAAACTGCTCAATCACAAGATAGGTTCAACTTGGTAATTGGAAAGCACACATGACAAACAATTTCTGAGAATGTTTCTGTGTAGTTTTAAGGGAAGATATTTGATTTTCAAATGTAGGCCTCAAATCGCTCCAAATATCCACTTGCATATTGTACAAAAAGAGAGATTCAAAACTGGTCACTCAAAAGTTAGGTCCAGCTCTGTGAGCTGAATGCACACATCACAAAGATGTTTCTCAGAAGGTTTCTGTATAGTTTCTATATGAAGATATTTGCTTTTCCACAATATGCCTCAAATCTCCCCAATTATCCACTTGCAGATTCTAGAAAAAGAGTGTTTCAAAACAGCTCAATCAAAATAAACTTTCAACTCTGTGAGATCAATGCACACATCACAAAGAAGTTTCTCAGAATGCTTCTGTGTAGTTTTTTTTGTGAAGATATTTGATTTTCCACAGCAGGCTTCCAAGCACTCCAAATATCCACTCGCAGATTCTGCAAAAAGAGAGATTCAAATCTGCTGAATCAAAAGATAGGTTTAACTCTGTGACTTCAATGCACACCTCACAAGGGTGTTTCTCAGAAAGCTTCTGTGTAGTTTTTATATGAAGATATCTCCTTCTCCAAAGCAGGTCTCAAAGCCCTCCAAATATTCACTTCAAGATTCTACGGAAAGATTGTCTCAACACTGCTAAATCTAAACAAATGTTCAACTCTGTGTGATGAATGCACTCATCACAGAGAAGTTTCTCTGAATGCCTCTGTGTAGTTTTTATTTGAAGAATTTGCTTTTCCAGTATAGGGCGAAATAGGGCTCCAAATATTCACTTGCAGATTCTACAAAAGGAGAGATTCCAAACTGCTCAATCAAAACATAGGTTCAACACTGTGAGTTGAATGCACACATCACAAAGAAGTTTCACAGAGTGCTTCTGGGTAGTTTTTATTTGAGGATATTTCCCTTTCCACAATAGGCCTCAAAGCTTTCCAAATATCCACTTGCAGATTCTGCAAAAAGAGAGATACAAAACTGCTCTATCAAAAGATAGATTCGACTCTGTGAGTTGAATGCCAACATCGCAAAGAAGTTTCTCAGAATGCTTCTCTGCAGCTTTTTTGAGAGTACGTTTCGTTTTCCACCATAGGGCGAAATGGGGCTCCAAATATCCACTTGCATTTCCTACAAAAAGAGAGATTCTAAGCTGCTCAATCAAAACATTGTTTCAACACGGTTAGTGGAATGCACACATCCCAAAGATGTTTTTCAGAGTGCTTCTGTGTGGTTTTTATGTGAAGATACTTCCTTTTCCACAATAGGCCTCAAATCTCTGTAAATATCCACTTGCAGACTCTACAAAGAGTGTTTCCAAACTCCTCAATCATAAGATAGGTTCAACTCCGATAGTTGAATGCACACATCACAAAGAAGTTTCTCAGAAAGCTTCTGTGTAGTTTTTGATGAAGATATCTTCTTCTCTAAAACAGAACTCCAAGCCCTCCAAATATTCACTTCAAGATTCTACGGAAAGATTGTCTCAAACTGCTAAATCAAAACAAATGTTCTACTCTGTGTGATGAATGCATTCATCACAAAGAAGCTTCTCTGAGTGCTTCTGTGCAGTTTTTATTTGAAGATAATTGCTTTTCCAGTATAGGGCGAAATAGGGCTCCAAATATTCACTTGCAGATTCTACAGAAAGAGAGATTCCAAACTGCTCAATCAAAACATAGGTTCAACACTGTGAGTTGAATGCATACATCGCAAAGAAGTTTCACAGAGTACTTCTGGGTGGTTTTTATTTGGAGATATTTCCCTTTCCACAATAGGCCTCAAAGCTTTCCAAATGTCCACTTGCAGATTCCACCAAAAGAGTGTTTCGAAACTGCTCAATCAAAAGAAAGGTTCTACTCTGTGGGATGAATGCACACATCACAAAGTAGTTTCTCAGAATGCTTCTGTGTAGTTTTTATGTGAAGATAGTTGTTTTTCCACAGTAGGCCCCAAAGAGCTCCAAATATTCACTTGCAGATTCTACAAAAAGAGTGTTCCAAAACTGCTCAATCATGAAATAGGATCAACCCTGTGAGATGAATGTACGTATGACAGAGAAGTTTCTCAGAATGCTTCTGTGTAGTTTTTATGCGAAGATATTCGATTTTCCACAGTACGCCTCAAAGTTCTCCAATTATCCACTCGTAGATTCTGCAAAAAGAGAGATTCAAAACTGCTCAATCAAAAGATAGTTTCTACTCCATTAGCTGAAAGACCACATCACAAAAAAAGTTTCTCAGGATGCTTCTGTGTAGTTTTTATGTGAAGATATTTGGTTTTCCACAGTAGGCCTCAAAGCGCTCCAAATATCCACTCACAGATTCTGCAAAAAGAGAGATTCAAAACTGCTGAATCAAAAGACAGTTTCAACTCTGTGACTTCAGTGCACACCTCACAAGGATGTTTCTCAGAATGCTTCTGTGTAGTTTTTATATAAAGATATCTCCTTCTCCAAAATGGATCTCAAAGTTCTCCAAATATTCACTTCCAGATTCTATGGAAAGATTGTCTCAAAACTGCTCAATCAAACCAAAGGTTCAACTCTGTGAGATGAATGCCCACATCACAAAGAAGTTTCTCAGAGTACTTCTGTGTAGTTTCTATTTGAGGATAGTTCCTTTTCCACCACAGACCAGAAAGGGCTCCAAATATCCATTGCAGATGGTACAAAAAGTGAGATTCAAAACTGCTCAATCCAAAGGTAGTTTCAACCATGTGATATGAAGGCACACAGCACAGAGAATTTTCTCAAAATGCGTCTGTCTAGTTTTTATTTGAAGATATTTCCTTTTCTACCACAGGCCACAAACGTCTCCAAATATCCACATGCAGCTTCTACAAAAAGAGAGATTCAAAACTTCTCAATCAAAAGATAGGTTCAACTCTGTGAGTTGAAAGCACACCTCACAAAGAAGTTTCTCAGAGTGCTTCTGTGTGTTTTTATGTGAAGATATTTCCTTTTCCACAACAGGCCTCAAAGCTCTCCAAATATCTGCGAGCAGAGACTACAAAATGAGAGATTCAAAACTGCTCAATGAAAAGATAGGTTCAACTCTGTGAGTTGAATGCACACCTCCAAAGAAGTTTCTCAGAATGCTTCCGTGTAGTTTTTATGTGAAGATATTTACTTTTCCACAGTTGTCCCAAAGCTCTAAAATATCCACTTGCAGACCCTCCAAAAGAGTGTTTCAGAATTGCTCAATCAAAGGGAAGGTTCAATTCTGTGTGACCAATGCACTCATCACAAAGAAGTTTGTCTGAATGCTTCTGTGTAGAATTGATTTGAAGATAATTCCTTTTCCACCACAGTCCGCAAAGGGCTAAAAATATCCACTTGCCGATTCCACAAAAAGAGAGATTCAAAACTGCTCAATCACAAGTATAGGTTCAACTTGGTAATTGGAAAGCACACATGACAAACAATTTCTGAGAATGTTTCTGTGTAGTTTTTAAGGGAAGATATTTGATTTTCAAATGTAGGCCTCAAATCGCTCCAAATATCCACTTGCATATTGTACAAAAAGAGAGATTCAAAACTGGTCACTCAAAAGTTAGGTCCAGCTCTGTGAGCTGAATGCACACATCACAAAGATGTTTCTCAGAAGGTTTCTGTATAGTTTCTATATGAAGATATTGGCTTTTCCACAATATGCCTCAAATCTCCCCAATTATCCACTTGCAGATTCTAGAAAAAGAGTGTTTCAAAACAGCTCAATCAAAATAAACTTTCAACTCTGTGAGATCAATGCACACATCACAAAGAAGTTTCTCAGAATGCTTCTGTGTAGTTTTTTTTGTGAAGATATTTGATTTTCCACAGCAGGCTTCCAAGCACTCCAAATATCCACTCGCAGATTCTGCAAAAAGAGAGATTCAAATCTGCTGAATCAAAAGATAGGTTTAACTCTGTGACTTCAATGCACACCTCACAAGGGTGTTTCTCAGAAAGCTTCTGTGTAGTTTTTATATGAGGGTATCTCCTTCTCCAAAGCAGGTCTCAAAGCCCTCCAAATATTCACTTCAAGATTCTACGGAAAGATTGTCTCAACACTGCTAAATCTAAACAAATGTTCAACTCTGTGTGATGAATGCACTCATCACAGAGAAGTTTCTCTGAATGCCTCTGTGTAGTTTTTATTTGAAGATATTTGCTTTTCCAGTATAGGGCGAAATAGGGCTCCAAATATTCACTTGCAGATTCTACAAAAGGAGAGATTCCAAACTGCTCAATCAAAACATAGGTTCAACACTGTGAGTTGAATGCACACATCACAAAGAAGTTTCACAGAGTGCTTCTGGGTAGTTTTTATTTGAGGATATTTCCCTTTCCACAATAGGCCTCAAAGCTTTCCAAATATCCACTTGCAGATTCTGCAAAAACAGAGATACAAAACTGCTCTATCAAAAGATAGATTCGACTCTGTGAGTTGAATGCCAACATCGCAAAGAAGTTTCTCAGAATGCTTCTCTGCAGCTTTTTTGTGAGTATGTTTCGTTTTCCACCATAGGGCGAAATGGGGCTCCAAATATCCACTTGCATTTCCTACAAAAAGAGAGATTCTAAGCTGCTCAATCAAAACATTGTTTCAACACGGTTAGTTGAATGCACACATCCCAAAGACGTTTTTCAGAGTGCTTCTGTGTGGTTTTTATGTGAAGATACTTCCTTTTCCACAATAGGCCTCAAATCTCTGTAAATATCCACTTGCAGACTCTACAAAGAGTGTTTCCAAACTGCTCAATCATAAGATAGGTTCAACTCCGATAGTTGAATGCACACATCACAAAGAAGTTTCTCAGAAAGCTTCTGTGTAGTTTTTGATGAAGATATCTCCTTCTCTAAAACAGAACTCCAAGCCCTCCAAATATTCACTTCAAGATTCTACGGAAAGATTGTCTCAAAACTCCTAAATCAAAACAAAGTTTCAACTCTGTGTCATGAATGCATTCATCTCAAAGAACTTTCTCTGAATGCTTCTGTGCAGTTTTTATTTGAAGATAATTGCTTTTCCAGTATAGGGCGAAATAGGGCTCCAAATATTCACTTGCAGATTCTACAGAAAGAGAGATTCCAAACTGCTCAATCAAAACATAGGTTCAACACTGTGAGTTGAATGCATACATCGCAAAGAAGTTTCACAGAGTACTTCTGGGTGGTTTTTATTTGAAGATATTTCCCTTTCCACAATAGGCCTCAAAGCTTTCCAAATGTCCACTTGCAGATTCCACCAAAAGAGTGTTTCGAAACTGCTCAATCAAAAGAAAGGTTCTACTCTGTGGGATGAATGCACACATCACAAAGTAGTTTCTCAGAATGCTTCTGTGTAGTTTTTATGTGAAGATATTTGTTTTTCCACAGTAGGCCCCAAGGAGCTCCAAATATTCACTTGCAGATTCTACAAAAAGAGTGTTCCGAAACTGCTCAATCATGAAATAGGATCAACCCTGTGAGATGAATGTACGTATGACAGAGAAGTTTCTCAGAATGCTTCTGTGTAGTTTTTATGCGAAGATATTCGACTTTCCACAGTACGCCTCAAAGTTCTCCAATTATCCACTCGTAGATTCTGCAAAAAGAGAGATTCAAAACTGCTCAATCAAAAGATAGTTTCTACTCCATTAGCTGAAAGACCACATCACAAAAAAAGTTTCTCAGGATGCTTCTGTGTAGTTTTTATGTGAAGATATTTGGTTTTCCACAGTAGGCCTCAAAGCGCTCCAAATATCCACTCACAGATTCTGCAAAAAGAGAGATTCAAAACTGCTGAATCAAAAGACAGTTTCAACTCTGTGACTTCAGTGCACACCTCACAAGGATGTTTCTCAGAATGCTTCTGTGTAGTTTTCATATAAAGATATCTCCTTCTCCAAAATGGATCTCAAAGTTCTCCAAATATTCACTTCCAGATTCTTTGGAAAGATTGTCTCAAAACTGCTCAATCAAACCAAAGGTTCAACTCTGTGAGATGAATGCCCACATCACAAAGAAGTTTCTCAGAGTACTTCTGTGTAGTTTCTATTTGAGGATAGTTCCTTTTCCACCACAGACCAGAAAGGGCTCCAAATATCCATTGCAGATGGTACAAAAAGTGAGATTCAAAACTGCTCAATCCAAAGGTAGTTTCAACCATGTGATATGAATGCACACAGCACAGAGAATTTTCTCAAAATGCGTCTGTCTAGTTTTTATTTGAAGATATTTCCTTTTCTACCATAGGCCACAAACGTCTCCAAATATCCACATGCAGCTTCTACAAAAAGAGAGATTCAAAACTTCTCAATCAAAAGATAGGTTCAACTCTGTGAGTTGAAAGCACACCTCACAAAGAAGTTTCTCAGAGTGCTTCTGTGTGTTTTTATGTGAAGATATTTCCTTTTCCACAATAGGCCTCAAAGCTCTCCAAATATCTGCGAGCAGAGTCTACAAAATGAGAGATTCAAAACTGCTCAATGAAAAGATAGGTTCAACTCTGTGAGTTGAATGCACACCTCCAAAGAAGTTTCTCAGAATGCTTCCGTGTAGTTTTTATGTGAAGATATTTACTTTTCCACAGTTGTCCCAAAGCTCTAAAATATCCACTTGCAGACCCTCCAAAAGAGTGTTTCAGAATTGCTCAATCAAAGGGAAGGTTCAATTCTGTGTGACCAATGCACTCATCACAAAGAAGTTTGTCTGAATGCTTCTGTGTAGAATTGATTTGAAGATAATTCCTTTTCCACCACAGTCCGCAAAGGGCTAAAAATATCCACTTGCCGATTCCACAAAAAGAGAGATTCAAAACTGCTCAATCACAAGTATAGGTTCAACTTGGTAATTGGAAAGCACACATGACAAACAATTTCTGAGAATGTTTCTGTGTAGTTTTTAAGGGAAGATATTTGATTTTCAAATGTAGGCCTCAAATCGCTCCAAATATCCACTTGCATATTGTACAAAAAGAGAGATTCAAAACTGGTCACTCAAAAGTTAGGTCCAGCTCTGTGAGCTGAATGCACACATCACAAAGATGTTTCTCAGAAGGTTTCTGTATAGTTTCTATATGAAGATATTGGCTTTTCCACAATATGCCTCAAATCTCCCCAATTATCCACTTGCAGATTCTAGAAAAAGAGTGTTTCAAAACAGCTCAATCAAAATAAACTTTCAACTCTGTGAGATCAATGCACACATCACAAAGAAGTTTCTCAGAATGCTTCTGTGTAGTTTTTTTTGTGAAGATATTTGATTTTCCACAGCAGGCTTCCAAGCACTCCAAATATCCACTCGCAGATTCTGCAAAAAGAGAGATTCAAATCTGCTGAATCAAAAGATAGGTTTAACTCTGTGACTTCAATGCACACCTCACAAGGGTGTTTCTCAGAAAGCTTCTGTGTAGTTTTTATATGAAGATATCTCCTTCTCCAAAGCAGGTCTCAAAGCCCTCCAAATATTCACTTCAAGATTCTACGGAAAGATTGTCTCAACACTGCTAAATCTAAACAAATGTTCAACTCTGTGTGATGAATGCACTCATCACAGAGAAGTTTCTCTGAATGCCTCTGTGTAGTTTTTATTTGAAGATATTTGCTTTTCCAGTATAGGGCGAAATAGGGCTCCAAATATTCACTTGCAGATTCTACAAAAGGAGAGATTCCAAACTGCTCAATCAAAACATAGGTTCAACACTGTGAGTTGAATGCACACATCACAAAGAAGTTTCACAGAGTGCTTCTGGGTAGTTTTTATTTGAGGATATTTCCCTTTCCACAATAGGCCTCAAAGCTTTCCAAATATCCACTTGCAGATTCTGCAAAAAGAGAGATACAAAACTGCTCTATCAAAAGATAGATTCGACTCTGTGAGTTGAATGCCAACATCGCAAAGAAGTTTCTCAGAATGCTTCTCTGCAGCTTTTTTGTGAGTATGTTTCGTTTTCCACCATAGGGCGAAATGGGGCTCCAAATATCCACTTGCATTTCCTACAAAAAGAGAGATTCTAAGCTGCTCAATCAAAACATTGTTTCAACACGGTTAGTTGAATGCACACATCCCAAAGATGTTTTTCAGAGTGCTTCTGTGTGGTTTTTATGTGAAGATACTTCCTTTTCCACAATAGGCCTCAAATCTCTGTAAATATCCACTTGCAGACTCTACAAAGAGTGTTTCCAAACTCCTCAATCATAAGATAGGTTCAACTCCGATAGTTGAATGCACACATCACAAAGAAGTTTCTCAGAAAGCTTTCTGTGTAGTTTTTGATGAAGATATCTCCTTCTCTAAAACAGAACTCCAAGCCCTCCAAATATTCACTTCAAGATTCTACGGAAAGATTGTCTCAAAACTCCTAAATCAAAACAAAGTTTCAACTCTGTGTCATGAATGCATTCATCTCAAAGAAGTTTCTCTGAATGCTTCTGTGCAGTTTTTATTTGAAGATAATTGCTTTTCCAGTATAGGGCGAAATAGGGCTCCAAATATTCACTTGCAGATTCTACAGAAAGAGAGATTCCAAACTGCTCAATCAAAACATAGGTTCAACACTGTGAGTTGAATGCATACATCGCAAAGAAGTTTCACAGAGTACTTCTGGGTGGTTTTTATTTGAAGATATTTCCCTTTCCACAATAGGCCTCAAAGCTTTCCAAATGTCCACTTGCAGATTCCACCAAAAGCGTGTTTCGAAACTGCTCAATCAAAAGAAAGGTTCTACTCTGTGGGATGAATGCACACATCACAAAGTAGTTTCTCAGAATGCTTCTGTGTAGTTTTTATGTGAAGATATTTGTTTTTCCACAGTAGGCCCCAAAGAGCTCCAAATATTCACTTGCAGATTCTACAAAAAGAGTGTTCCAAAACTGCTCAATCATGAAATAGGATCAACCCTGTGAGATGAATGTACGTATGACAGAGAAGTTTCTCAGAATGCTTCTGTGTAGTTTTTATGCGAAGATATTCGATTTTCCACAGTACGCCTCAAAGTTCTCCAATTATCCACTCGTAGATTCTGCAAAAAGAGAGATTCAAAACTGCTCAATCAAAAGATAGTTTCTACTCCATTAGCTGAAAGACCACATCACAAAAAAAGTTTCTCAGGATGCTTCTGTGTAGTTTTTATGTGAAGATATTTGGTTTTCCACAGTAGGCCTCAAAGCGCTCCAAATATCCACTCACAGATTCTGCAAAAAGAGAGATTCAAAACTGCTGAATCAAAAGACAGTTTCAACTCTGTGACTTCAGTGCACACCTCACAAGGATGTTTCTCAGAATGCTTCTGTGTAGTTTTCATATAAAGATATCTCCTTCTCCAAAATGGATCTCAAAGTTCTCCAAATATTCACTTCCAGATTCTATGGAAAGATTGTCTCAAAACTGCTCAATCAAACCAAAGGTTCAACTCTGTGAGATGAATGCCCACATCACAAAGAAGTTTCTCAGAGTACTTCTGTGTAGTTTCTATTTGAGGATAGTTCCTTTTCCACCACAGACCAGAAAGGGCTCCAAATATCCATTGCAGATGGTACAAAAAGTGAGATTCAAAACTGCTCAATCCAAAGGTAGTTTCAACCATGTGATATGAATGCACACAGCACAGAGAATTTTCTCAAAATGCGTCTGTCTAGTTTTTATTTGAAGATATTTCCTTTTCTACCATAGGCCACAAACGTCTCCAAATATCCACATGCAGCTTCTACAAAAAGAGAGATTCAAAACTTCTCAATCAAAAGATAGGTTCAACTCTGTGAGTTGAAAGCACACCTCACAAAGAAGTTTCTCAGAGTGCTTCTGTGTGTTTTTATGTGAAGATATTTCCTTTTCCACAACAGGCCTCAAAGCTCTCCAAATATCTGCGAGCAGAGTCTACAAAATGAGAGATTCAAAACTGCTCAATGAAAAGATAGGTTCAACTCTGTGAGTTGAATGCACACCTCCAAAGAAGTTTCTCAGAATGCTTCCGTGTAGTTTTTATGTGAAGATATTTACTTTTCCACAGCTGTCCCAAAGCTCTAAAATATCCACTTGCAGACCCTCCAAAAGAGTGTTTCAGAATTGCTCAATCAAAGGGAAGGTTCAATTCTGTGTGACCAATGCACTCATCACAAAGAAGTTTGTCTGAATGCTTCTGTGTAGAATTGATTTGAAGATAATTCCTTTTCCACCACAGTCCGCAAAGGGCTAAAAATATCCACTTGCCGATTCCACAAAAAGAGAGATTCAAAACTGCTCAATCACAAGATAGGTTCAACTTGGTAATTGGAAAGCACACATGACAAACAATTTCTGAGAATGTTTCTGTGTAGTTTTTAAGGGAAGATATTTGATTTTCAAATGTAGGCCTCAAATCGCTCCAAATATCCACTTGCATATTGTACAAAAAGAGAGATTCAAAACTGGTCACTCAAAAGTTAGGTCCAGCTCTGTGAGCTGAATGCACACATCACAAAGATGTTTCTCAGAAGGTTTCTGTATAGTTTCTATATGAAGATATTGGCTTTTCCACAATATGCCTCAAATCTCCCCAATTATCCACTTGCAGATTCTAGAAAAAGAGTGTTTCAAAACAGCTCAATCAAAATAAACTTTCAACTCTGTGAGATCAATGCACACATCACAAAGAAGTTTCTCAGAATGCTTCTGTGTAGTTTTTTTTGTGAAGATATTTGATTTTCCACAGCAGGCTTCCAAGCACTCCAAATATCCACTCGCAGATTCTGCAAAAAGAGAGATTCAAATCTGCTGAATCAAAAGATAGGTTTAACTCTGTGACTTCAATGCACACCTCACAAGGGTGTTTCTCAGAAAGCTTCTGTGTAGTTTTTATATGAAGATATCTCCTTCTCCAAAGCAGGTCTCAAAGCCCTCCAAATATTCACTTCAAGATTCTACGGAAAGATTGTCTCAACACTGCTAAATCTAAACAAATGTTCAACTCTGTGTGATGAATGCACTCATCACAGAGAAGTTTCTCTGAAGGCCTCTGTGTAGTTTTTATTTGAAGATATTTGCTTTTCCAGTATAGGGCGAAATAGGGCTCCAAATATTCACTTGCAGATTCTACAAAAGGAGAGATTCCAAACTGCTCAATCAAAACATAGGTTCAACACTGTGAGTTGAATGCACACATCACAAAGAAGTTTCACAGAGTGCTTCTGGGTAGTTTTTATTTGAGGATATTTCCCTTTCCACAATAGGCCTCAAAGCTTTCCAAATATCCACTTGCAGATTCTGCAAAAAGAGAGATACAAAACTGCTCTATCAAAAGATAGATTCGACTCTGTGAGTTGAATGCCAACATCGCAAAGAAGTTTCTCAGAATGCTTCTCTGCAGCTTTTTTGTGAGTATGTTTCGTTTTCCACCATAGGGCGAAATGGGGCTCCAAATATCCACTTGCATTTCCTACAAAAAGAGAGATTCTAAGCTGCTCAATCAAAACATTGTTTCAACACGGTTAGTTGAATGCACACATCCCAAAGATGTTTTTCAGAGTGCTTCTGTGTGGTTTTTATGTGAAGATACTTCCTTTTCCACAATAGGCCTCAAATCTCTGTAAATATCCACTTGCAGACTCTACAAAGAGTGTTTCCAAACTGCTCAATCATAAGATAGGTTCAACTCCGATAGTTGAATGCACACATCACAAAGAAGTTTCTCAGAAAGCTTCTGTGTAGTTTTTGATGAAGATATCTTCTTCTCTAAAACAGAACTCCAAGCCCTCCAAATATTCACTTCAAGATTCTACGGAAAGATTGTCTCAAAACTCCTAAATCAAAACAAAGTTTCAACTCTGTGTCATGAATGCATTCATCTCAAAGAAGTTTCTCTGAGTGCTTCTGTGCAGTTTTTATTTGAAGATAATTGCTTTTCCAGTATAGGGCGAAATAGGGCTCCAAATATTCACTTGCAGATTCTACAGAAAGAGAGATTCCAAACTGCTCAATCAAAACATAGGTTCAACACTGTGAGTTGAATGCATACATCGCAAAGAAGTTTCACAGAGTACTTCTGGGTGGTTTTTATTTGAAGATATTTCCCTTTCCACAATAGGCCTCAAAGCTTTCCAAATGTCCACTTGCAGATTCCACCAAAAGAGTGTTTCGAAACTGCTCAATCAAAAGAAAGGTTCTACTCTGTGGGATGAATGCACACATCACAAAGTAGTTTCTCAGAATGCTTCTGTGTAGTTTTTATGTGAAGATATTTGTTTTTCCACAGTAGGCCCCAAAGAGCTCCAAATATTCACTTGCAGATTCTACAAAAAGAGTGTTCCAAAACTGCTCAATCATGAAATAGGATCAACCCTGTGAGATGAATGTACGTATGACAGAGAAGTTTCTCAGAATGCTTCTGTGTAGTTTTTATGCGAAGATATTCGATTTTCCACAGTACGCCTCAAAGTTCTCCAATTATCCACTCGTAGATTCTGCAAAAAGAGAGATTCAAAACTGCTCAATCAAAAGATAGTTTCTACTCCATTAGCTGAAAGACCACATCACAAAAAAAGTTTCTCAGGATGCTTCTGTGTAGTTTTTATGTGAAGATATTTGGTTTTCCACAGTAGGTCTCAAAGCGCTCCAAATATCCACTCACAGATTCTGCAAAAAGAGAGATTCAAAACTGCTGAATCAAAAGACAGTTTCAACTCTGTGACTTCAGTGCACACCTCACAAGGATGTTTCTCAGAATGCTTCTGTGTAGTTTTCATATAAAGATATCTCCTTCTCCAAAATGGATCTCAAAGTTCTCCAAATATTCACTTCCAGATTCTATGGAAAGATTGTCTCAAAACTGCTCAATCAAACCAAAGGTTCAACTCTGTGAGATGAATGCCCACATCACAAAGAAGTTTCTCAGAGTACTTCTGTGTAGTTTCTATTTGAGGATAGTTCCTTTTCCACCACAGACCAGAAAGGGCTCCAAATATCCATTGCAGATGGTACAAAAAGTGAGATTCAAAACTGCTCAATCCAAAGGTAGTTTCAACCATGTGAT
The DNA here is from genome assembly GCF_000001405.40 of Homo sapiens. Lineage (NCBI taxonomy): Eukaryota > Metazoa > Chordata > Mammalia > Primates > Hominidae > Homo > Homo sapiens. Next base: position 18,207,031 of record NC_000015.10, on the reverse strand, counting down.
ATGAATGCACACAGCACAGAGAATTTTCCCAAAATGCGTCTGTCTAGTTTTTATTTGAAGATATTTCCTTTTCTACCATAGGCCACAAACGTCTCCAAATATCCACATGCAGCTTCTACAAAAAGAGAGATTCAAAACTTCTCAATCAAAAGATAGGTTCAACTCTGTGAGTTGAAAGCACACCTCACAAAGAAGTTTCTCAGAGTGCTTCTGTGTGTTTTTATGTGAAGATATTTCCTTTTCCACAATAGGCCTCAAAGCTCTCCAAATATCTGCGAGCAGAGTCTACAAAATGAGAGATTCAAAACTGCTCAATGAAAAGATAGGTTCAACTCTGTGAGTTGAATGCACACCTCCAAAGAAGTTTCTCAGAATGCTTCCGTGTAGTTTTTATGTGAAGATATTTACTTTTCCACAGTTGTCCCAAAGCTCTAAAATATCCACTTGCAGACCCTCCAAAAGAGTGTTTCAGAATTGCTCAATCAAAGGGAAGGTTCAATTCTGTGTGACCAATGCACTCATCACAAAGAAGTTTGTCTGAATGCTTCTGTGTAGAATTGATTTGAAGATAATTCCTTTTCCACCACAGTCCGCAAAGGGCTAAAAATATCCACTTGCCGATTCCACAAAAAGAGAGATTCAAAACTGCTCAATCACAAGATAGGTTCAACTTGGTAATTGGAAAGCACACATGACAAACAATTTCTGAGAATGTTTCTGTGTAGTTTTTAAGGGAAGATATTTGATTTTCAAATGTAGGCCTCAAATCGCTCCAAATATCCACTTGCATATTGTACAAAAAGAGAGATTCAAAACTGGTCACTCAAAAGTTAGGTCCAGCTCTGTGAGCTGAATGCACACATCACAAAGATGTTTCTCAGAAGGTTTCTGTATAGTTTCTATATGAAGATATTTGCTTTTCCACAATATGCCTCAAATCTCCCCAATTATCCACTTGCAGATTCTAGAAAAAGAGTGTTTCAAAACAGCTCAATCAAAATAAACTTTCAACTCTGTGAGATCAATGCACACATCACAAAGAAGTTTCTCAGAATGCTTCTGTGTAGTTTTTTTTGTGAAGATATTTGATTTTCCACAGCAGGCTTCCAAGCACTCCAAATATCCACTCGCAGATTCTGCAAAAAGAGAGATTCAAATCTGCTGAATCAAAAGATAGGTTTAACTCTGTGACTTCAATGCACACCTCACAAGGGTGTTTCTCAGAAAGCTTCTGTGTAGTTTTTATATGAGGGTATCTCCTTCTCCAAAGCAGGTCTCAAAGCCCTCCAAATATTCACTTCAAGATTCTACGGAAAGATTGTCTCAACACTGCTAAATCTAAACAAATGTTCAACTCTGTGTGATGAATGCACTCATCACAGAGAAGTTTCTCTGAATGCCTCTGTGTAGTTTTTATTTGAAGATATTTGCTTTTCCAGTATAGGGCGAAATAGGGCTCCAAATATTCACTTGCAGATTCTACAAAAGGAGAGATTCCAAACTGCTCAATCAAAACATAGGTTCAACACTGTGAGTTGAATGCACACATCACAAAGAAGTTTCACAGAGTGCTTCTGGGTAGTTTTTATTTGAGGATATTTCCCTTTCCACAATAGGCCTCAAAGCTTTCCAAATATCCACTTGCAGATTCTGCAAAAACAGAGATACAAAACTGCTCTATCAAAAGATAGATTCGACTCTGTGAGTTGAATGCCAACATCGCAAAGAAGTTTCTCAGAATGCTTCTCTGCAGCTTTTTTGTGAGTATGTTTCGTTTTCCACCATAGGGCGAAATGGGGCTCCAAATATCCACTTGCATTTCCTACAAAAAGAGAGATTCTAAGCTGCTCAATCAAAACATTGTTTCAACACGGTTAGTTGAATGCACACATCCCAAAGATGTTTTTCAGAGTGCTTCTGTGTGGTTTTTATGTGAAGATACTTCCTTTTCCACAATAGGCCTCAAATCTCTGTAAATATCCACTTGCAGACTCTACAAAGAGTGTTTCCAAACTCCTCAATCATAAGATAGGTTCAACTCCGATAGTTGAATGCACACATCACAAAGAAGTTTCTCAGAAAGCTTCTGTGTAGTTTTTGATGAAGATATCTCCTTCTCTAAAACAGAACTCCAAGCCCTCCAAATATTCACTTCAAGATTCTACGGAAAGATTGTCTCAAAACTCCTAAATCAAAACAAAGTTTCAACTCTGTGTCATGAACGCATTCATCTCAAAGAAGTTTCTCTGAGTGCTTCTGTGCAGTTTTTATTTGAAGATAATTGCTTTTCCAGTATAGGGCGAAATAGGGCTCCAAATATTCACTTGCAGATTCTACAGAAAGAGAGATTCCAAACTGCTCAATCAAAACATAGGTTCAACACTGTGAGTTGAATGCATACATCGCAAAGAAGTTTCACAGAGTACTTCTGGGTGGCTTTTATTTGAAGATATTTCCCTTTCCACAATAGGCCTCAAAGCTTTCCAAATGTCCACTTGCAGATTCCACCAAAAGAGTGTTTCGAAACTGCTCAATCAAAAGAAAGGTTCTACTCTGTGGGATGAATGCACACATCACAAAGTAGTTTCTCAGAATGCTTCTGTGTAGTTTTTATGTGAAGATATTTGTTTTTCCACTGTAGGCCCCAAGGAGCTCCAAATATTCACTTGCAGATTCTACAAAAAGAGTGTTCCAAAACTGCTCAATCATGAAATAGGATCAACCCTGTGAGATGAATGTACGTATGACAGAGAAGTTTCTCAGAATGCTTCTGTGTAGTTTTTATGCGAAGATATTCGATTTTCCACAGTACGCCTCAAAGTTCTCCAATTATCCACTCGTAGATTCTGCAAAAAGAGAGATTCAAAACTGCTCAATCAAAAGATAGTTTCTACTCCATTAGCTGAAAGACCACATCACAAAAAAAGTTTCTCAGGATGCTTCTGTGTAGTTTTTATGTGAAGATATTTGGTTTTCCACAGTAGGCCTCAAAGCGCTCCAAATATCCACTCACAGATTCTGCAAAAAGAGAGATTCAAAACTGCTGAATCAAAAGACAGTTTCAACTCTGTGACTTCAGTGCACACCTCACAAGGATGTTTCTCAGAATGCTTCTGTGTAGTTTTCATATAAAGATATCTCCTTCTCCAAAATGGATCTCAAAGTTCTCCAAATATTCACTTCCAGATTCTATGGAAAGATTGTCTCAAAACTGCTCAATCAAACCAAAGGTTCAACTCTGTGAGATGAATGCCCACATCACAAAGAAGTTTCTCAGAGTACTTCTGTGTAGTTTCTATTTGAGGATAGTTCCTTTTCCACCACAGACCAGAAAGGGCTCCAAATATCCATTGCAGATGGTACAAAAAGTGAGATTCAAAACTGCTCAAACCAAAGGTAGTTTCAACCATGTGATATGAATGCACACAGCACAGAGAATTTTCTCAAAATGCGTCTGTCTAGTTTTTATTTGAAGATATTTCCTTTTCTACCATAGGCCACAAACGTCTCCAAATATCCACATGCAGCTTCTACAAAAAGAGAGATTCAAAACTTCTCAATCAAAAGATAGGTTCAACTCTGTGAGTTGAAAGCACACCTCACAAAGAAGTTTCTCAGAGTGCTTCTGTGTGTTTTTATGTGAAGATATTTCCTTTTCCACAATAGGCCTCAAAGCTCTCCAAATATCTGCGAGCAGAGTCTACAAAATGAGAGATTCAAAACTGCTCAATGAAAAGATAGGTTCAACTCTGTGAGTTGAATGCACACCTCCAAAGAAGTTTCTCAGAATGCTTCCGTGTAGTTTTTATGTGAAGATATTTACTTTTCCACAGTTGTCCCAAAGCTCTAAAATATCCACTTGCAGACCCTCCAAAAGAGTGTTTCAGAATTGCTCAATCAAAGGGAAGGTTCAATTCTGTGTGACCAATGCACTCATCACAAAGAAGTTTGTCTGAATGCTTCTGTGTAGAATTGATTTGAAGATAATTCCTTTTCCACCACAGTCCGCAAAGGGCTAAAAATATCCACTTGCCGATTCCACAAAAAGAGAGATTCAAAACTGCTCAATCACAAGATAGGTTCAACTTGGTAATTGGAAAGCACACATGACAAACAATTTCTGAGAATGTTTCTGTGTAGTTTTTAAGGGAAGATATTTGATTTTCAAATGTAGGCCTCAAATCGCTCCAAATATCCACTTGCATATTGTACAAAAAGAGAGATTCAAAACTGGTCACTCAAAAGTTAGGTCCAGCTCTGTGAGCTGAATGCACACATCACAAAGATGTTTCTCAGAAGGTTTCTGTATAGTTTTTATATGAAGATATTTGCTTTTCCACAATATGCCTCAAATCTCCCCAATTATCCACTTGCAGATTCTAGAAAAAGAGTGTTTCAAAACAGCTCAATCAAAATAAACTTTCAACTCTGTGAGATCAATGCACACATCACAAAGAAGTTTCTCAGAATGCTTCTGTGTAGTTTTTTTTGTGAAGATATTTGATTTTCCACAGCAGGCTTCCAAGCACTCCAAATATCCACTCGCAGATTCTGCAAAAAGAGAGATTCAAATCTGCTGAATCAAAAGATAGGTTTAACTCTGTGACTTCAATGCACACCTCACAAGGGTGTTTCTCAGAAAGCTTCTGTGTAGTTTTTATATGAAGATATCTCCTTCTCCAAAGCAGGTCTCAAAGCCCTCCAAATATTCACTTCAAGATTCTACGGAAAGATTGTCTCAACACTGCTAAATCTAAACAAATGTTCAACTCTGTGTGATGAATGCACTCATCACAGAGAAGTTTCTCTGAATGCCTCTGTGTAGTTTTTATTTGAAGATATTTGCTTTTCCAGTATAGGGTGAAATAGGGCTCCAAATATTCACTTGCAGATTCTACAAAAGGAGAGATTCCAAACTGCTCAATCAAAACATAGGTTCAACACTGTGAGTTGAATGCACACATCACAAAGAAGTTTCACAGAGTGCTTCTGGGTAGTTTTTATTTGAGGATATTTCCCTTTCCACAATAGGCCTCAAAGTTTTCCAAATATTCACTTGCAGATTCTGCAAAAAGAGAGATACAAAACAGCTCTATCAAAAGATAGATTCGACTCTGTGAGTTGAATGCCAACATCGCAAAGAAGTTTCTCAGAATGCTTCTCTGCAGCTTTTTTGTGAGTATGTTTCGTTTTCCACCATAGGGCGAAATGGGGCTCCAAATATCCACTTGCATTTCCTACAAAAAGAGAGATTCTAAGCTGCTCAATCAAAACATTGTTTCAACACGGTTAGTTGAATGCACACATCCCAAAGATGTTTTTCAGAGTGCTTCTGTGTGGTTTTTATGTGAAGATACTTCCTTTTCCACAATAGGCCTCAAATCTCTGTAAATATCCACTTGCAGACTCTACAAAGAGTGTTTCCAAACTCCTCAATCATAAGATAGGTTCAACTCCGATAGTTGAATGCACACATCACAAAGAAGTTTCTCAGAAAGCTTCCGTGTAGTTTTTGATGAAGATATCTTCTTCTCTAAAACAGAACTCCAAGCCCTCCAAATATTCACTTCAAGATTCTACGGAAAGATTGTCTCAAACTGCTAAATCAAAACAAAGGTTCAACTCTGTGTGATGAATGCATTCATCACAAAGAAGTTTCTCTGAGTGCTTCTGTGCAGTTTTTATTTGAAGATAATTGCTTTTCCAGTATAGGGTGAAATAGGGCTCCAAATATTCACTTGCAGATTCTACAGAAAGAGAGATTCCAAACTGCTCAATCAAAACATAGGTTCAACACTGTGAGTTGAATGCATACATCGCAAAGAAGTTTCACAGAGTACTTCTGGGTGGTTTTTATTTGAAGATATTTCCCTTTCCACAATAGGCCTCAAAGCTTTCCAAATGTCCACTTGCAGATTCCACCAAAAGAGTGTTTCGAAACTGCTCAATCAAAAGAAAGGTTCTACTCTGTGGGATGAATGCACACATCACAAAGTAGTTTCTCAGAATGCTTCTGTGTAGTTTTTATGTGAAGATATTTGTTTTTCCACAGTAGGCCCCAAAGAGCTCCAAATATTCACTTGCAGATTCTACAAAAAGAGTGTTCCAAAACTGCTCAATCATGAACTAGGATCAACCCTGTGAGATGAATGTACGTATGACAGAGAAGTTTCTCAGAATGCTTCTGTGTAGTTTTTATGCGAAGATATTCGATTTTCCACAGTACGCCTCAAAGTTCTCCAATTATCCACTCGTAGATTCTGCAAAAAGAGAGATTCAAAACTGCTCAATCAAAAGATAGTTTCTACTCCATTAGCTGAAAGACCACATCACAAAAAAAGTTTCTCAGGATGCTTCTGTGTAGTTTTTATGTGAAGATATTTGGTTTTCCACAGTAGGCCTCAAAGCGCTCCAAATATCCACTCACAGATTCTGCAAAAAGAGAGATTCAAAACTGCTGAATCAAAAGACAGTTTCAACTCTGTGACTTCAGTGCACACCTCACAAGGATGTTTCTCAGAATGCTTCTGTGTAGTTTTCATATAAAGATATCTCCTTCTCCAAAATGGATCTCAAAGTTCTCCAAATATTCACTTCCAGATTCTATGGAAAGATTGTCTCAAAACTGCTCAATCAAACCAAAGGTTCAACTCTGTGAGATGAATGCCCACATCACAAAGAAGTTTCTCAGAGTACTTCTGTGTAGTTTCTATTTGAGGATAGTTCCTTTTCCACCACAGACCAGAAAGGGCTCCAAATATCCATTGCAGATGGTACAAAATGTGAGATTCAAAACTGCTCAATCCAAAGGTAGTTTCAACCCTGTGATATGAATGCACACAGCACAGAGAATTTTCTCAAAATGCGTCTGTCTAGTTTTTATTTGAAGATATTTCCTTTTCTACCATAGGCCACAAACGTCTCCAAATATCCACATGCAGCTTCTACAAAAAGAGAGATTCAAAACTTCTCAATCAAAAGATAGGTTCAACTCTGTGAGTTGAAAGCACACCTCACAAAGAAGTTTCTCAGAGTGCTTCTGTGTGTTTTTATGTGAAGATATTTCCTTTTCCACAATAGGCCTCAAAGCTCTCCAAATATCTGCGAGCAGAGTCTACAAAATGAGAGATTCAAAACTGCTCAATGAAAAGATAGGTTCAACTCTGTGAGTTGAATGCACACCTCCAAAGAAGTTTCTCAGAATGCTTCCGTGTAGTTTTTATGTGAAGATATTTACTTTTCCACAGTTGTCCCAAAGCTCTAAAATATCCACTTGCAGACCCTCCAAAAGAGTGTTTCAGAATTGCTCAATCAAAGGGAAGGTTCAATTCTGTGTGACCAATGCACTCATCACAAAGAAGTTTGTCTGAATGCTTCTGTGTAGAATTGATTTGAAGATAATTCCTTTTCCACCACAGTCCGCAAAGGGCTAAAAATATCCACTTGCCGATTCCACAAAAAGAGAGATTCAAAACTGCTCAATCACAAGATAGGTTCAACTTGGTAATTGGAAAGCACACATGACAAACAATTTCTGAGAATGTTTCTGTGTAGTTTTTAAGGGAAGATATTTGATTTTCAAATGTAGGCCTCAAATCGCTCCAAATATCCACTTGCATATTGTACAAAAAGAGAGATTCAAAACTGGTCACTCAAAAGTTAGGTCCAGCTCTGTGAGCTGAATGCACACATCACAAAGATGTTTCTCAGAAGGTTTCTGTATAGTTTCTATATGAAGATATTGGCTTTTCCACAATATGCCTCAAATCTCCCCAATTATCCACTTGCAGATTCTAGAAAAAGAGTGTTTCAAAACAGCTCAATCAAAATAAACTTTCAACTCTGTGAGATCAATGCACACATCACAAAGAAGTTTCTCAGAATGCTTCTGTGTAGTTTTTTTTGTGAAGATATTTGATTTTCCACAGCAGGCTTCCAAGCACTCCAAATATCCACTCGCAGATTCTGCAAAAAGAGAGATTCAAATCTGCTGAATCAAAAGATAGGTTTAACTCTGTGACTTCAATGCACACCTCACAAGGGTGTTTCTCAGAAAGCTTCTGTGTAGTTTTTATATGAAGATATCTCCTTCTCCAAAGCAGGTCTCAAAGCCCTCCAAATATTCACTTCAAGATTCTACGGAAAGATTGTCTCAACACTGCTAAATCTAAACAAATGTTCAACTCTGTGTGATGAATGCACTCATCACAGAGAAGTTTCTCTGAATGCCTCTGTGTAGCTTTTATTTGAAGATATTTGCTTTTCCAGTATAGGGCGAAATAGGGCTCCAAATATTCACTTGCAGATTCTACAAAAGGAGAGATTCCAAACTGCTCAATCAAAACATAGGTTCAACACTGTGAGTTGAATGCACACATCACAAAGAAGTTTCACAGAGTGCTTCTGGGTAGTTTTTATTTGAGGATATTTCCCTTTCCACAATAGGCCTCAAAGCTTTCCAAATATCCACTTGCAGATTCTGCAAAAAGAGAGATACAAAACTGCTCTATCAAAAGATAGATTCGACTCTGTGAGTTGAATGCCAACATCGCAAAGAAGTTTCTCAGAATGCTTCTCTGCAGCTTTTTTGTGAGTATGTTTCGTTTTCCACCATAGGGCGAAATGGGGCTCCAAATATCCACTTGCATTTCCTACAAAAAGAGAGATTCTAAGCTGCTCAATCAAAACATTGTTTCAACACGGTTAGTTGAATGCACACATCCCAAAGATGTTTTTCAGAGTGCTTCTGTGTGGTTTTTATGTGAAGATACTTCCTTTTCCACAATAGGCCTCAAATCTCTGTAAATATCCACTTGCAGACTCTACAAAGAGTGTTTCCAAACTGCTCAATCATAAGATAGGTTCAACTCCGATAGTTGAATGCACACATCACAAAGAAGTTTCTCAGAAAGCTTCTGTGTAGTTTTTGATGAAGATATCTCCTTCTCTAAAACAGAACTCCAAGCCCTCCAAATATTCACTTCAAGATTCTACGGAAAGATTGTCTCAAAACTCCTAAATCAAAACAAAGTTTCAACTCTGTGTAATGAATGCATTCATGTCAAAGAAGTTTCTCTGAATGCTTCTGTGCAGTTTTTATTTGAAGATAATTGCTTTTCCAGTATAGGGCGAAATAGGGCTCCAAATATTCACTTGCAGATTCTACAGAAAGAGAGATTCCAAACTGCTCAATCAAAACATAGGTTCAACACTGTGAGTTGAATGCATACATCGCAAAGAAGTTTCACAGAGTACTTCTGGGTGGTTTTTATTTGAAGATATTTCCCTTTCCACAATAGGCCTCAAAGCTTTCCAAATGTCCACTTGCAGATTCCACCAAAAGAGTGTTTCGAAACTGCTCAATCAAAAGAAAGGTTCTACTCTGTGGGATGAATGCACACATCACAAAGTAGTTTCTCAGAATGCTTCTGTGTAGTTTTTATGTGAAGATATTTGTTTTTCCACAGTAGGCCCCAAGGAGCTCCAAATATTCACTTGCAGATTCTACAAAAAGAGTGTTCCAAAACTGCTCAATCATGAAATAGGATCAACCCTGTGAGATGAATGTACGTATGACAGAGAAGTTTCTCAGAATGCTTCTGTGTAGTTTTTATGCGAAGATATTCGATTTTCCACAGTACGCCTCAAAGTTCTCCAATTATCCACTCGTAGATTCTGCAAAAAGAGAGATTCAAAACTGCTCAATCAAAAGATAGTTTCTACTCCATTAGCTGAAAGACCACATCACAAAAAAAGTTTCTCAGGATGCTTCTGTGTAGTTTTTATGTGAAGATATTTGGTTTTCCACAGTAGGCCTCAAAGCGCTCCAAATATCCGCTCACAGATTCTGCAAAAAGAGAGATTCAAAACTGCTGAATCAAAAGACAGTTTCAACTCTGTGACTTCAGTGCACACCTCACAAGGATGTTTCTCAGAATGCTTCTGTGTAGTTTTCATATAAAGATATCTCCTTCTCCAAAATGGATCTCAAAGTTCTCCAAATATTCACTTCCAGATTCTATGGAAAGATTGTCTCAAAACTGCTCAATCAAACCAAAGGTTCAACTCTGTGAGATGAATGCCCACATCACAAAGAAGTTTCTCAGAGTACTTCTGTGTAGTTTCTATTTGAGGATAGTTCCTTTTCCACCACAGACCAGAAAGGGCTCCAAATATCCATTGCAGATGGTACAAAAAGTGAGATTCAAAACTGCTCAATCCAAAGGTAGTTTCAACCATGTGATATGAATGCACACAGCACAGAGAATTTTCTCAAAATGCGTCTGTCTAGTTTTTATTTGAAGATATTTCCTTTTCTACCATAGGCCACAAACGTCTCCAAATATCCACATGCAGCTTCTACAAAAAGAGAGATTCAAAACTTCTCAATCAAAAGATAGGTTCAACTCTGTGAGTTGAAAGCACACCTCACAGAGAAGTTTCTCAGAGTGCTTCTGTGTGTTTTTATGTGAAGATATTTCCTTTTCCACAATAGGCCTCAAAGCTCTCCAAATATCTGCGAGCAGAGTCTACAAAATGAGAGATTCAAAACTGCTCAATGAAAAGATAGGTTCAACTCTGTGAGTTGAATGCACACCTCCAAAGAAGTTTCTCAGAATGCTTCCGTGTAGTTTTTATGTGAAGATATTTACTTTTCCACAGTTGTCCCAAAGCTCTAAAATGTCCACTTGCAGACCCTCCAAAAGAGTGTTTCAGAATTGCTCAATCAAAGGGAAGGTTCAATTCTGTGTGACCAATGCACTCATCACAAAGAAGTTTGTCTGAATGCTTCTGTGTAGAATTGATTTGAAGATAATTCCTTTTCCACCACAGTCCGCAAAGGGCTAAAAATATCCACTTGCCGATTCCACAAAAAGAGAGATTCAAAACTGCTCAATCACAAGATAGGTTCAACTTGGTAATTGGAAAGCACACATGACAAACAATTTCTGAGAATGTTTCTGTGTAGTTTTTAAGGGAAGATATTTGATTTTCAAATGTAGGCCTCAAATCGCTCCAAATATCCACTTGCATATTGTACAAAAAGAGAGATTCAAAACTGGTCACTCAAAAGTTAGGTCCAGCTCTGTGAGCTGAATGCACACATCACAAAGATGTTTCTCAGAAGGTTTCTGTATAGTTTCTATATGAAGATATTTGCTTTTCCACAATATGCCTCAAATCTCCCCAATTATCCACTTGCAGATTCTAGAAAAAGAGTGTTTCAAAACAGCTCAATCAAAATAAACTTTCAACTCTGTGAGATCAATGCACACATCACAAAGAAGTTTCTCAGAATGCTTCTGTGTAGTTTTTTTTGTGAAGATATTTGATTTTCCACAGCAGGCTTCCAAGCACTCCAAATATCCACTCGCAGATTCTGCAAAAAGAGAGATTCAAATCTGCTGAATCAAAAGATAGGTTTAACTCTGTGACTTCAATGCACACCTCACAAGGGTGTTTCTCAGAAAGCTTCTGTGTAGTTTTTATATGAAGATATCTCCTTCTCCAAAGCAGGTCTCAAAGCCCTCCAAATATTCACTTCAAGATTCTACGGAAAGATTGTCTCAACACTGCTAAATCTAAACAAATGTTCAACTCTGTGTGATGAATGCACTCATCACAGAGAAGTTTCTCTGAATGCCTCTGTGTAGTTTTTATTTGAAGATATTTGCTTTTCCAGTATAGGGCGAAATAGGGCTCCAAATATTCACTTGCAGATTCTACAAAAGGAGAGATTCCAAACTGCTCAATCAAAACATAGGTTCAACACTGTGAGTTGAATGCACACATCACAAAGAAGTTTCACAGAGTGCTTCTGGGTAGTTTTTATTTGAGGATATTTCCCTTTCCACAATAGGCCTCAAAGCTTTCCAAATATCCACTTGCAGATTCTGCAAAAAGAGAGATACAAAACTGCTCTATCAAAAGATAGATTCGACTCTGTGAGTTGAATGCCAACATCGCAAAGAAGTTTCTCAGAATGCTTCTCTGCAGCTTTTTTGTGAGTATGTTTCGTTTTCCACCATAGGGCGAAATGGGGCTCCAAATATCCACTTGCATTTCCTACAAAAAGAGAGATTCTAAGCTGCTCAATCAAAACATTGTTTCAACACGGTTAGTTGAATGCACACATCCCAAAGATGTTTCTCAGAGTGCTTCTGTGTGGTTTTTATGTGAAGATACTTCCTTTTCCACAATAGGCCTCAAATCTCTGTAAATATCCACTTGCAGACTCTACAAAGAGTGTTTCCAAACTGCTCAATCATAAGATAGGTTCAACTCTGATAGTTGAATGCACACATCACAAAGAAGTTTCTCAGAAAGCTTCTGTGTAGTTTTTGATGAAGATATCTTCTTCTCTAAAACAGAACTCCAAGCCCTCCAAATATTCACTTCAAGATTCTACGGAAAGATTGTCTCAAAACTCCTAAATCAAAACAAAGTTTCAACTCTGTGTCATGAATGCATTCATCTCAAAGAAGTTTCTCTGAATGCTTCTGTGCAGTTTTTATTTGAAGATAATTGCTTTTCCAGTATAGGGCGAAATAGGGCTCCAAATATTCACTTGCAGATTCTACAGAAAGAGAGATTCCAAACTGCTCAATCAAAACATAGGTTCAACACTGTGAGTTGAATGCATACATCGCAAAGAAGTTTCACAGAGTACTTCTGGGTGGTTTTTATTTGAAGATATTTCCCTTTCCACAATAGGCCTCAAAGCTTTCCAAATGTCCACTTGCAGATTCCACCAAAAGAGTGTTTCGAAACTGCTCAATCAAAAGAAAGGTTCTACTCTGTGGGATGAATGCACACATTACAAAGTAGTTTCTCAGAATGCTTCTGTGTAGTTTTTATGTGAAGATATTTGTTTTTCCACAGTAGGCCCCAAAGAGCTCCAAATATTCACTTGCAGATTCTACAAAAAGAGTGTTCCAAAACTGCTCCATCATGAAATAGGATCAACCCTGTGAGATGAATGTACGTATGACAGAGAAGTTTCTCAGAATGCTTCTGTGTAGTTTTTATGCGAAGATATTCGATTTTCCACAGTACGCCTCAAAGTTCTCCAATTATCCACTCGTAGATTCTGCAAAAAGAGAGATTCAAAACTGCTCAATCAAAAGATAGTTTCTACTCCATTAGCTGAAAGACCACATCACAAAAAAAGTTTCTCAGGATGCTTCTGTGTAGTTTTTATGTGAAGATATTTGGTTTTCCACAGTAGGCCTCAAAGCGCTCCAAATATCCACTCACAGATTCTGCAAAAAGAGAGATTCAAAACTGCTGAATCAAAAGACAGTTTCAACTCTGTGACTTCAGTGCACACCTCACAAGGATGTTTCTCAGAATGCTTCTGTGTAGTTTTTATATAAAGATATCTCCTTCTCCAAAATGGATCTCAAAGTTCTCCAAATATTCACTTCCAGATTCTATGGAAAGATTGTCTCAAAACTGCTCAATCAAACCAAAGGTTCAACTCTGTGAGATGAATGCCCACATCACAAAGAAGTTTCTCAGAGTACTTCTGTGTAGTTTCTATTTGAGGATAGTTCCTTTTCCACCACAGACCAGAAAGGGCTCCAAATATCCATTGCAGATGGTACAAAAAGTGAGATTCAAAACTGCTCAATCCAAAGGTAGTTTCAACCATGTGATATGAATGCACACAGCACAGAGAATTTTCTCAAAATGCGTATCTGTCTAGTTTTTATTTGAAGATATTTCCTTTTCTACCATAGGCCACAAACGTCTCCAGATATCCACATGCAGCTTCTACAAAAAGAGAGATTCAAAACTTCTCAATCAAAAGATAGGTTCAACTCTGTGAGTTGAATGCAGACATCACAAAGAAGTTTCTCAGAGTGCTTCTGTGTGTTTTTATGTGAAGATATTTCCTTTTCCACAATAGGCCTCAAAGCTCTCCAAATATCTGCGAGCAGAGTCTACAAAATGAGAGATTCAAAACTGCTCAATGAAAAGATAGGTTCAACTCTGTGAGTTGAATGCACACCTCCAAAGAAGTTTCTCAGAATGCTTCCGTGTAGTTTTTATGTGAAGATATTTACTTTTCCACAGTTGTCCCAAAGCTCTAAAATATCCACTTGCAGACCCTCCAAAAGAGTGTTTCAGAATTGCTCAATCAAAGGGAAGGTTCAATTCTGTGTGACCAATGCACTCATCACAAAGAAGTTTGTCTGAATGCTTCTGTGTAGAATTGATTTGAAGATAATTCCTTTTCCACCACAGTCCGCAAAGGGCTAAAAATATCCACTTGCCGATTCCACAAAAAGAGAGATTCAAAACTGCTCAATCACAAGATAGGTTCAACTTGGTAATTGGAAAGCACACATGACAAACAATTTCTGAGAATGTTTCTGTGTAGTTTTTAAGGGAAGATATTTGATTTTCAAATGTAGGCCTCAAATCGCTCCAAATATCCACTTGCATATTGTACAAAAAGAGAGATTCAAAACTGGTCACTCAAAAGTTAGGTCCAGCTCTGTGAGCTGAATGCACACATCACAAAGATGTTTCTCAGAAGGTTTCTGTATAGTTTCTATATGAAGATATTTGCTTTTCCACAATATGCCTCAAATCTCCCCAATTATCCACTTGCAGATTCTAGAAAAAGAGTGTTTCAAAACAGCTCAATCCAAATAAACTTTCAACTCTGTGAGATCAATGCACACATCACAAAGAAGTTTCTCAGAATGCTTCTGTGTAGTTTTTTTTGTGAAGATATTTGATTTTCCACAGCAGGCTTCCAAGCACTCCAAATATCCACTTGCAGATTCTGCAAAAAGAGAGATTCAAATCTGCTGAATCAAAAGATAGGTTTAACTCTGTGACTTCAATGCACACCTCACAAGGGTGTTTCTCAGAAAGCTTCTGTGTAGTTTTTATATGAAGATATCTCCTTCTCCAAAGCAGGTCTCAAAGCCCTCCAAATATTCACTTCAAGATTCTACGGAAAGATTGTCTCAACACTGCTAAATCTAAACAAATGTTCAACTCTGTGTGATGAATGCACTCATCACAGAGAAGTTTCTCTGAATGCCTCTGTGTAGTTTTTATTTGAAGATATTTGCTTTTCCAGTATAGGGCGAAATAGGGCTCCAAATATTCACTTGCAGATTCTACAAAAGGAGAGATTCCAAACTGCTCAATCAAAACATAGGTTCAACACTGTGAGTTGAATGCACACATCACAAAGAAGTTTCACAGAGTGCTTCTGGGTAGTTTTTATTTGAGGATATTTCCCTTTCCACAATAGGCCTCAAAGCTTTCCAAATATCCACTTGCAGATTCTGCAAAAAGAGAGATACAAAACTGCTCTATCAAAAGATAGATTCGACTCTGTGAGTTGAATGCCAACATCGCAAAGAAGTTTCTCAGAATGCTTCTCTGCAGCTTTTTTGTGAGTATGTTTCGTTTTCCACCATAGGGCGAAATGGGGCTCCAAATATCCACTTGCATTTCCTACAAAAAGAGAGATTCTAAGCTGCTCAATCAAAACATTGTTTCAACACGGTTAGTTGAATGCACACATCCCAAAGATGTTTTTCAGAGTGCTTCTGTGTGGTTTTTATGTGAAGATACTTCCTTTTCCACAATAGGCCTCAAATCTCTGTAAATATCCACTTGCAGACTCTACAAAGAGTGTTTCCAAACTGCTCAATCATAAGATAGGTTCAACTCCGATAGTTGAATGCACACATCACAAAGAAGTTTCTCAGAAAGCTTCTGTGTAGTTTTTGATGAAGATATCTCCTTCTCTAAAACAGAACTCCAAGCCCTCCAAATATTCACTTCAAGATTCTACGGAAAGATTGTCTCAAAACTCCTAAATCAAAACAAAGTTTCAACTCTGTGTCATGAATGCATTCATTTCAAAGAACTTTCTCTGAATGCTTCTGTGCAGTTTTTATTTGAAGATAATTGCTTTTCCAGTATAGGGCGAAATAGGGCTCCAAATATTCACTTGCAGATTCTACAGAAAGAGAGATTCCAAACTGCTCAATCAAAACATAGGTTCAACACTGTGAGTTGAATGCATACATCGCAAAGAAGTTTCACAGAGTACTTCTGGGTGGTTTTTATTTGAAGATATTTCCCTTTCCACAATAGGCCTCAAAGCTTTCCAAATGTCCACTTGCAGATTCCACCAAAAGAGTGTTTCGAAACTGCTCAATCAAAAGAAAGGTTCTACTCTGTGGGATGAATGCACACATCACAAAGTAGTTTGCTCAGAATGCTTCTGTGTAGTTTTTATGTGAAGATATTGGTTTTTCCACAGTAGGCCCCAATGAGCTCCAAATATTCACTTGCAGATTCTACAAAAAGAGTGTTTCAAAAGTGCTCAATAATAAAATAGGATCAACCCTGTGAATGTACGTATGACAAAGAAGTTTCTCAGAATGCTTCTGTGTAGTTTTTATGCGAAGATATTCGATTTTCCACAGTACGCCTCAAAGTTCTCCAATTATCCACTCGTAGATCCTTCAAAAAGAGAGATTCAAAACTGCTCAATCAAAAGATAGTTTCTACTCCATTAGCTGAAAGACCACATCACAAAAAAAGTTTCTCAGGATGCTTCTGTGTAGTTTTTATGTGAAGATATTTGGTTTTCCACAGTAGGCCTCAAAGCGCTCCAAATATCCACTCACAGATTCTGCAAAAAGAGAGATTCAAAACTGCTGAATCAAAAGACAGTTTCAACTCTGTGACTTCAGTGCACACCTCACAAGGATGTTTCTCAGAATGCTTCTGTGTAGTTTTCATATAAAGATATCTCCTTCTCCAAAATGGATCTCAAAGTTCTCCAAATATTCACTTCCAGATTCTATGGAAAGATTGTCTCAAAACTGCTCAATCAAACCAAAGGTTCAACTCTGTGAGATGAATGCCCACATCACAAAGAAGTTTCTCAGAGTACTTCTGTGTAGTTTCTATTTGAGGATAGTTCCTTTTCCACCACAGACCAGAAAGGGCTCCAAATATCCATTGCAGATGGTACAAAAAGTGAGATTCAAAACTGCTCAATCCAAAGGTAGTTTCAACCATGTGATATGAATGCACACAGCACAGAGAATTTTCTCAAAATGCGTCTGTCTAGTTTTTATTTGAAGATATTTCCTTTTCTACCATAGGCCACAAACGTCTCCAAATATCCACATGCAGCTTCTACAAAAAGAGAGATTCAAAACTTCTCAATCAAAAGATAGGTTCAACTGCTGTGAGTTGAAAGCACACCTCACAAAGAAGTTTCTCAGAGTGCTTCTGTGTGTTTTTATGTGAAGATATTTCCTTTTCCACAATAGGCCTCAAAGCTCTCCAAATATCTGCGAGCAGAGTCTACAAAATGAGAGATTCAAAACTGCTCAATGAAAAGATAGGTTCAACTCTGTGAGTTGAATGCACACCTCCAAAGAAGTTTCTCAGAATGCTTCCGTGTAGTTTTTATGTGAAGATATTTACTTTTCCACAGTTGTCCCAAAGCTCTAAAATGTCCACTTGCAGACCCTCGAAAAGAGTGTTTCAGAATTGCTCAATCAAAGGGAAGGTTCAATTCTGTGTGACCAATGCACTCATCACAAAGAAGTTTGTCTGAATGCTTCTGTGTAGAATTGATTTGAAGATAATTCCTTTTCCACCACAGTCCGCAAAGGGCTAAAAATATCCACTTGCCGATTCCACAAAAAGAGAGATTCAAAACTGCTCAATCACAAGATAGGTTCAACTTGGTAATTGGAAAGCACACATGACAAACAATTTCTGAGAATGTTTCTGTGTAGTTTTTAAGGGAAGATATTTGATTTTCAAATGTAGGCCTCAAATCGCTCCAAATATCCACTTGCATATTGTACAAAAAGAGAGATTCAAAACTGGTCACTCAAAAGTTAGGTCCAGCTCTGTGAGCTGAATGCATACATCACAAAGATGTTTCTCAGAAGGTTTCTGTATAGTTTTTATATGAAGATATTTGCTTTTCCACAATATGCCTCAAATCTCCCCAATTATCCACTTGCAGATTCTAGAAAAAGAGTGTTTCAAAACAGCTCAATCAAAATAAACTTTCAACTCTGTGAGATCAATGCACACATCACAAAGAAGTTTCTCAGAATGCTTCTGTGTAGTTTTTTTTGTGAAGATATTTGATTTTCCACAGCAGGCTTCCAAGCACTCCAAATATCCACTCGCAGATTCTGCAAAAAGAGAGATTCAAATCTGCTGAATCAAAAGATAGGTTTAACTCTGTGACTTCAATGCACACCTCACAAGGGTGTTTCTCAGAAAGCTTCTGTGTAGTTTTTATATGAAGATATCTCCTTCTCCAAAGCAGGTCTCAAAGCCCTCCAAATATTCACTTCAAGATTCTACGGAAAGATTGTCTCAACACTGCTAAATCTAAACAAATGTTCAACTCTGTGTGATGAATGCACTCATCACAGAGAAGTTTCTCTGAATGCCTCTGTGTAGTTTTTATTTGAAGATATTTGCTTTTCCAGTATAGGGCGAAATAGGGCTCCAAATATTCACTTGCAGATTCTACAAAAGGAGAGATTCCAAACTGCTCAATCAAAACATAGGTTCAACACTGTGAGTTGAATGCACACATCACAAAGAAGTTTCACAGAGTGCTTCTGGGTAGTTTTTATTTGAGGATATTTCCCTTTCCACAATAGGCCTCAAAGCTTTCCAAATATCCACTTGCAGATTCTGCAAAAAGAGAGATACAAAACTGCTCTATCAAAAGATAGATTCGACTCTGTGAGTTGAATGCCAACATCGCAAAGAAGTTTCTCAGAATGCTTCTCTGCAGCTTTTTTGTGAGTATGTTTCGTTTTCCACCATAGGGCGAAATGGGGCTCCAAATATCCACTTGCATTTCCTACAAAAAGAGAGATTCTAAGCTGCTCAATCAAAACATTGTTTCAACACGGTTAGTTGAATGCACACATCCCAAAGATGTTTTTCAGAGTGCTTCTGTGTGGTTTTTATGTGAAGATACTTCCTTTTCCACAATAGGCCTCAAATCTCTGTAAATATCCACTTGCAGACTCTACAAAGAGTGTTTCCAAACTGCTCAATCATAAGATAGGTTCAACTCCGATAGTTGAATGCACACATCACAAAGAAGTTTCTCAGAAAGCTTCTGTGTAGTTTTTGATGAAGATATCTTCTTCTCTAAAACAGAACTCCAAGCCCTCCAAATATTCACTTCAAGATTCTACGGAAAGATTGTCTCAAAACTCCTAAATCAAAACAAAGTTTCAACTCTGTGTCATGAATGCATTCATCTCAAAGAAGTTTCTCTGAATGCTTCTGTGCAGTTTTTATTTGAAGATAATTGCTTTTCCAGTATAGGGCGAAATAGGGCTCCAAATATTCACTTGCAGATTCTACAGAAAGAGAGATTCCAAACTGCTCAATCAAAACATAGGTTCAACACTGTGAGTTGAATGCATACATCGCAAAGAAGTTTCACAGAGTACTTCTGGGTGGTTTTTATTTGAAGATATTTCCCTTTCCACAATAGGCCTCAAAGCTTTCCAAATGTCCACTTGCAGATTCCACCAAAAGAGTGTTTCGAAACTGCTCAATCAAAAGAAAGGTTCTACTCTGTGGGATGAATGCACACATCACAAAGTAGTTTCTCAGAATGCTTCTGTGTAGTTTTTATGTGAAGATATTTGTTTTTCCACAGTAGGCCCCAAAGAGCTCCAAATATTCACTTGCAGATTCTACAAAAAGAGTGTTCCAAAACTGCTCAATCATGAAATAGGATCAACCCTGTGAGATGAATGTACGTATGACAGAGAAGTTTCTCAGAATGCTTCTGTGTAGTTTTTATGCGAAGATATTCGACTTTCCACAGTACGCCTCAAAGTTCTCCAATTATCCACTCGTAGATCCTGCAAAAAGAGAGATTCAAAACTGCTCAATCAAAAGATAGTTTCTACTCCATTAGCTGAAAGACCACATCACAAAAAAAGTTTCTCAGGATGCTTCTGTGTAGTTTTTATGTGAAGATATTTGGTTTTCCACAGTAGGCCTCAAAGCGCTCCAAATATCCACTCACAGATTCTGCAAAAAGAGAGATTCAAAACTGCTGAATCAAAAGACAGTTTCAACTCTGTGACTTCAGTGCACACCTCACAAGGATGTTTCTCAGAATGCTTCTGTGTAGTTTTTATATAAAGATATCTCCTTCTCCAAAATGGATCTCAAAGTTCTCCAAATATTCACTTCCAGATTCTATGGAAAGATTGTCTCAAAACTGCTCAATCAAACCAAAGGTTCAACTCTGTGAGATGAATGCCCACATCACAAAGAAGTTTCTCAGAGTACTTCTGTGTAGTTTCTATTTGAGGATAGTTCCTTTTCCACCACAGACCAGAAAGGGCTCCAAATATCCATTGCAGATGGTACAAAAAGTGAGATTCAAAACTGCTCAATCCAAAGGTAGTTTCAACCATGTGATATGAATGCACACAGCACAGAGAATTTTCTCAAAATGCGTCTGTCTAGTTTTTATTTGAAGATATTTCCTTTTCTACCATAGGCCACAAACGTCTCCAAATATCCACATGCAGCTTCTACAAAAAGAGAGATTCAAAACTTCTCAATCAAAAGATAGGTTCAACTCTGTGAGTTGAAAGCACACCTCACAAAGAAGTTTCTCAGAGTGCTTCTGTGTGTTTTTATGTGAAGATATTTCCTTTTCCACAATAGGCCTCAAAGCTCTCCAAATATCTGCGA
This sequence comes from Homo sapiens, assembly GCF_000001405.40. Lineage (NCBI taxonomy): Eukaryota > Metazoa > Chordata > Mammalia > Primates > Hominidae > Homo > Homo sapiens. The sequence continues at coordinate 18,186,265 of NC_000015.10, read as the reverse complement.
GCAGAGTCTACAAAATGAGAGATTCAAAACTGCTCAATGAAAAGATAGGTTCAACTCTGTGAGTTGAATGCACACCTCCAAAGAAGTTTCTCAGAATGCTTCCGTGTAGTTTTTATGTGAAGATATTTACTTTTCCACAGTTGTCCCAAAGCTCTAAAATGTCCACTTGCAGACCCTCCAAAAGAGTGTTTCAGAATTGCTCAATCAAAGGGAAGGTTCAATTCTGTGTGACCAATGCACTCATCACAAAGAAGTTTGTCTGAATGCTTCTGTGTAGAATTGATTTGAAGATAATTCCTTTTCCACCACAGTCCGCAAAGGGCTAAAAATATCCACTTGCCGATTCCACAAAAAGAGAGATTCAAAACTGCTCAATCACAAGATAGGTTCAACTTGGTAATTGGAAAGCACACATGACAAACAGTTTCTGAGAATGTTTCTGTGTAGTTTTTAAGGGAAGATATTTGATTTTCAAATGTAGGCCTCAAATCGCTCCAAATATCCACTTGCATATTGTACAAAAAGAGAGATTCAAAACTGGTCACTCAAAAGTTAGGTCCAGCTCTGTGAGCTGAATGCACACATCACAAAGATGTTTCTCAGAAGGTTTCTGTATAGTTTCTATATGAAGATATTTGCTTTTCCACAATATGCCTCAAATCTCCCCAATTATCCACTTGCAGATTCTAGAAAAAGAGTGTTTCAAAACAGCTCAATCAAAATAAACTTTCAACTCTGTGAGATCAATGCACACATCACAAAGAAGTTTCTCAGAATGCTTCTGTGTAGTTTTTTTTGTGAAGATATTTGATTTTCCACAGCAGGCTTCCAAGCACTCCAAATATCCACTCGCAGATTCTGCAAAAAGAGAGATTCAAATCTGCTGAATCAAAAGATAGGTTTAACTCTGTGACTTCAATGCACACCTCACAAGGGTGTTTCTCAGAAAGCTTCTGTGTAGTTTTTATATGAAGATATCTCCTTCTCCAAAGCAGGTCTCAAAGCCCTCCAAATATTCACTTCAAGATTCTACGGAAAGATTGTCTCAACACTGCTAAATCTAAACAAATGTTCAACTCTGTGTGATGAATGCACTCATCACAGAGAAGTTTCTCTGAAGGCCTCTGTGTAGTTTTTATTTGAAGATATTTGCTTTTCCAGTATAGGGCGAAATAGGGCTCCAAATATTCACTTGCAGATTCTACAAAAGGAGAGATTCCAAACTGCTCAATCAAAACATAGGTTCAACACTGTGAGTTGAATGCACACATCACAAAGAAGTTTCACAGAGTGCTTCTGGGTAGTTTTTATTTGAGGATATTTCCCTTTCCACAATAGGCCTCAAAGCTTTCCAAATATCCACTTGCAGATTCTGCAAAAAGAGAGATACAAAACTGCTCTATCAAAAGATAGATTCGACTCTGTGAGTTGAATGCCAACATCGCAAAGAAGTTTCTCAGAATGCTTCTCTGCAGCTTTTTTGTGAGTATGTTTCGTTTTCCACCATAGGGCGAAATGGGGCTCCAAATATCCACTTGCATTTCCTACAAAAAGAGAGATTCTAAGCTGCTCAATCAAAACATTGTTTCAACACGGTTAGTTGAATGCACACATCCCAAAGATGTTTTTCAGAGTGCTTCTGTGTGGTTTTTATGTGAAGATACTTCCTTTTCCACAATAGGCCTCAAATCTCTGTAAATATCCACTTGCAGACTCTACAAAGAGTGTTTCCAAACTGCTCAATCATAAGATAGGTTCAACTCCGATAGTTGAATGCACACATCACAAAGAAGTTTCTCAGAAAGATTCTGTGTAGTTTTTGATGAAGATATCTTCTTCTCTAAAACAGAACTCCAAGCCCTCCAAATATTCACTTCAAGATTCTACGGAAAGATTGTCTCAAAACTCCTAAATCAAAACAAAGTTTCAACTCTGTGTCATGAATGCATTCATCTCAAAGAAGTTTCTCTGAGTGCTTCTGTGCAGTTTTTATTTGAAGATAATTGCTTTTCCAGTATAGGGCGAAATAGGGCTCCAAATATTCACTTGCAGATTCTACAGAAAGAGAGATTCCAAACTGCTCAATCAAAACATAGGTTCAACACTGTGAGTTGAATGCGTACATCGCAAAGAAGTTTCACAGAGTACTTCTGGGTGGTTTTTATTTGAAGATATTTCCCTTTCCACAATAGGCCTCAAAGCTTTCCAAATGTCCACTTGCAGATTCCACCAAAAGAGTGTTTCGAAACTGCTCAATCAAAAGAAAGGTTCTACTCTGTGGGATGAATGCACACATCACAAAGTAGTTTCTCAGAATGCTTCTGTGTAGTTTTTATGTGAAGATATTTGTTTTTCCACAGTAGGCCCCAAAGAGCTCCAAATATTCACTTGCAGATTCTACAAAAAGAGTGTTCCAGAACTGCTCAATCATGAAATAGGATCAACCCTGTGAGATGAATGTACGTATGACAGAGAAGTTTCTCAGAATGCTTCTGTGTAGTTTTTATGCGAAGATATTCGATTTTCCACAGTACGCCTCAAAGTTCTCCAATTATCCACTCGTAGATCCTGCAAAAAGAGAGATTCAAAACTGCTCAATCAAAAGATAGTTTCTACTCCATTAGCTGAAAGACCACATCACAAAAAAAGTTTCTCAGGATGCTTCTGTGTAGTTTTTATGTGAAGATATTTGGTTTTCCACAGTAGGCCTCAAAGCGCTCCAAATATCCACTCACAGATTCTGCAAAAAGAGAGATTCAAAACTGCTGAATCAAAAGACAGTTTCAACTCTGTGACTTCAGTGCACACCTCACAAGGATGTTTCTCAGAATGCTTCTGTGTAGTTTTTATATAAAGATATCTCCTTCTCCAAAATGGATCTCAAAGTTCTCCAAATATTCACTTCCAGATTCTATGGAAAGATTGTCTCAAAACTGCTCAATCAAACCAAAGGTTCAACTCTGTGAGATGAATGCCCACATCACAAAGAAGTTTCTCAGAGTACTTCTGTGTAGTTTCTATTTGAGGATAGTTCCTTTTCCACCACAGACCAGAAAGGGCTCCAAATATCCATTGCAGATGGTACAAAAAGTGAGATTCAAAACTGCTCAATCCAAAGGTAGTTTCAACCATGTGATATGAATGCACACAGCACAGAGAATTTTCTCAAAATGCGTCTGTCTAGTTTTTATTTGAAGATATTTCCTTTTCTACCATAGGCCACAAACGTCTCCAAATATCCACATGCAGCTTCTACAAAAAGAGAGATTCAAAACTTCTCAATCAAAAGATAGGTTCAACTCTGTGAGTTGAAAGCACACCTCACAGAGAAGTTTCTCAGAGTGCTTCTGTGTGTTTTTATGTGAAGATATTTCCTTTTCCACAATAGGCCTCAAAGCTCTCCAAATATCTGCGAGCAGAGTCTACAAAATGAGAGATTCAAAACTGCTCAATGAAAAGATAGGTTCAACTCTGTGAGTTGAATGCACACCTCCAAAGAAGTTTCTCAGAATGCTTCCGTGTAGTTTTTATGTGAAGATATTTACTTTTCCACAGTTGTCCCAAAGCTCTAAAATGTCCACTTGCAGACCCTCCAAAAGAGTGTTTCAGAATTGCTCAATCAAAGGGAAGGTTCAATTCTGTGTGACCAATGCACTCATCACAAAGAAGTTTGTCTGAATGCTTCTGTGTAGAATTGATTTGAAGATAATTCCTTTTCCACCGCAGTCCGCAAAGGGCTAAAAATATCCACTTGCCGATTCCACAAAAAGAGAGATTCAAAACTGCTCAATCACAAGATAGGTTCAACTTGGTAATTGGAAAGCACACATGACAAACAATTTCTGAGAATGTTTCTGTGTAGTTTTTAAGGGAAGATATTTGATTTTCAAATGTAGGCCTCAAATCGCTCCAAATATCCACTTGCATATTGTACAAAAAGAGAGATTCAAAACTGGTCACTCAAAAGTTAGGTCCAGCTCTGTGAGCTGAATGCACACATCACAAAGATGTTTCTCAGAAGGTTTCTGTATAGTTTCTATATGAAGATATTTGCTTTTCCACAATATGCCTCAAATCTCCCCAATTATCCACTTGCAGATTCTAGAAAAAGAGTGTTTCAAAACAGCTCAATCAAAATAAACTTTCAACTCTGTGAGATCAATGCACACATCACAAAGAAGTTTCTCAGAATGCTTCTGTGTAGTTTTTTTTGTGAAGATATTTGATTTTCCACAGCAGGCTTCCAAGCACTCCAAATATCCACTCGCAGATTCTGCAAAAAGAGAGATTCAAATCTGCTGAATCAAAAGATAGGTTTAACTCTGTGACTTCAATGCACACCTCACAAGGGTGTTTCTCAGAAAGCTTCTGTGTAGTTTTTATATGAAGATATCTCCTTCTCCAAAGCAGGTCTCAAAGCCCTCCAAATATTCACTTCAAGATTCTACGGAAAGATTGTCTCAACACTGCTAAATCTAAACAAATGTTCAACTCTGTGTGATGAATGCACTCATCACAGAGAAGTTTCTCTGAATGCCTCTGTGTAGTTTTTATTTGAAGATATTTGCTTTTCCAGTATAGGGCGAAATAGGGCTCCAAATATTCACTTGCAGATTCTACAAAAGGAGAGATTCCAAACTGCTCAATCAAAACATAGGTTCAACACTGTGAGTTGAATGCACACATCACAAAGAAGTTTCACAGAGTGCTTCTGGGTAGTTTTTATTTGAGGATATTTCCCTTTCCACAATAGGCCTCAAAGCTTTCCAAATATCCACTTGCAGATTCTGCAAAAAGAGAGATACAAAACTGCTCTATCAAAAGATAGATTCGACTCTGTGAGTTGAATGCCAACATCGCAAAGAAGTTTCTCAGAATGCTTCTCTGCAGCTTTTTTGTGAGTATGTTTCGTTTTCCACCATAGGGCGAAATGGGGCTCCAAATATCCACTTGCATTTCCTACAAAAAGAGAGATTCTAAGCTGCTCAATCAAAACATTGTTTCAACACGGTTAGTTGAATGCACACATCCCAAAGATGTTTCTCAGAGTGCTTCTGTGTGGTTTTTATGTGAAGATACTTCCTTTTCCACAATAGGCCTCAAATCTCTGTAAATATCCACTTGCAGACTCTACAAAGAGTGTTTCCAAACTGCTCAATCATAAGATAGGTTCAACTCCAATAGTTGAATGCACACATCACAAAGAAGTTTCTCAGAAAGCTTCTGTGTAGTTTTTGATGAAGATATCTTCTTCTCTAAAACAGAACTCCAAGCCCTCCAAATATTCACTTCAAGATTCTACGGAAAGATTGTCTCAAAACTCCTAAATCAAAACAAAGTTTCAACTCTGTGTCATGAATGCATTCATCTCAAAGAAGTTTCTCTGAATGCTTCTGTGCAGTTTTTATTTGAAGATAATTGCTTTTCCAGTATAGGGCGAAATAGGGCTCCAAATATTCACTTGCAGATTCTACAGAAAGAGAGATTCCAAACTGCTCAATCAAAACATAGGTTCAACACTTGTGAGTTGAATGCATACATCGCAAAGAAGTTTCACAGAGTACTTCTGGGTGGTTTTTATTTGAAGATATTTCCCTTTCCACAATAGGCCTCAAAGCTTTCCAAATGTCCACTTGCAGATTCCACCAAAAGAGTGTTTCGAAACTGCTCAATCAAAAGAAAGGTTCTACTCTGTGGGATGAATGCACACATCACAAAGTAGTTTCTCAGAATGCTTCTGTGTAGTTTTTATGTGAAGATATTTGTTTTTCCACAGTAGGCCCCAAGGAGCTCCAAATATTCACTTGCAGATTCTACAAAAAGAGTGTTCCAAAACTGCTCAATCATGAAATAGGATCAACCCTGTGAGATGAATGTACGTATGACAGAGAAGTTTCTCAGAATGCTTCTGTGTAGTTTTTATGCGAAGATATTCGATTTTCCACAGTACGCCTCAAAGTTCTCCAATTATCCACTCGTAGATTCTGCAAAAAGAGAGATTCAAACCTGCTCAATCAAAAGATAGTTTCTACTCCATTAGCTGAAAGACCACATCACAAAAAAAGTTTCTCAGGATGCTTCTGTGTAGTTTTTATGTGAAGATATTTGGTTTTCCACAGTAGGCCTCAAAGCGCTCCAAATATCCACTCACAGATTCTGCAAAAAGAGAGATTCAAAACTGCTGAATCAAAAGACAGTTTCAACTCTGTGACTTCAGTGCACACCTCACAAGGATGTTTCTCAGAATGCTTCTGTGTAGTTTTTATATAAAGATATCTCCTTCTCCAAAATGGATCTCAAAGTTCTCCAAATATTCACTTCCAGATTCTATGGAAAGATTGTCTCAAAACTGCTCAATCAAACCAAAGGTTCAACTCTGTGAGATGAATGCCCACATCACAAAGAAGTTTCTCAGAGTACTTCTGTGTAGTTTCTATTTGAGGATAGTTCCTTTTCCACCACAGACCAGAAAGGGCTCCAGATATCCATTGCAGATGGTACAAAAAGTGAGATTCAAAACTGCTCAATCCAAAGGTAGTTTCAACCATGTGATATGAATGCACACAGCACAGAGAATTTTCTCAAAATGCGTCTGTCTAGTTTTTATTTGAAGATATTTCCTTTTCTACCATAGGCCACAAACGTCTCCAAATATCCACATGCAGCTTCTACAAAAAGAGAGATTCAAAACTTCTCAATCAAAAGATAGGTTCAACTCTGTGAGTTGAAAGCACACCTCACAAAGAAGTTTCTCAGAGTGCTTCTGTGTGTTTTTATGTGAAGATATTTCCTTTTCCACAATAGGCCTCAAAGCTCTCCAAATATCTGCGAGCAGAGTCTACAAAATGAGAGATTCAAAACTGCTCAATGAAAAGATAGGTTCAACTCTGTGAGTTGAATGCACACCTCCAAAGAAGTTTCTCAGAATGCTTCCGTGTAGTTTTTATGTGAAGATATTTACTTTTCCACAGTTGTCCCAAAGCTCTAAAATGTCCACTTGCAGACCCTCCAAAAGAGTGTTTCAGAATTGCTCAATCAAAGGGAAGGTTCAATTCTGTGTGACCAATGCACTCATCACAAAGAAGTTTGTCTGAATGCTTCTGTGTAGAATTGATTTGAAGATAATTCCTTTTCCACCACAGTCCGCAAAGGGCTAAAAATATCCACTTGCCGATTCCACAAAAAGAGAGATTCAAAACTGCTCAATCACAAGATAGGTTCAACTTGGTAATTGGAAAGCACACATGACAAACAATTTCTGAGAATGTTTCTGTGTAGTTTTTAAGGGAAGATATTTGATTTTCAAATGTAGGCCTCAAATCGCTCCAAATATCCACTTGCATATTGTACAAAAAGAAAGATTCAAAACTGGTCACTCAAAAGTTAGGTCCAGCTCTGTGAGCTGAATGCACACATCACAAAGATTTTTCTCAGAAGGTTTCTGTATAGTTTCTATATGAAGATATTTGCTTTTCCACAATATGCCTCAAATCTCCCCAATTATCCACTTGCAGATTCTAGAAAAAGAGTGTTTCAAAACAGCTCAATCAAAATAAACTTTCAACTCTGTGAGATCAATGCACACATCACAAAGAAGTTTCTCAGAATGCTTCTGTGTAGTTTTTTTTGTGAAGATATTTGATTTTCCACAGCAGGCTTCCAAGCACTCCAAATATCCACTCGCAGATTCTGCAAAAAGAGAGATTCAAATCTGCTGAATCAAAAGATAGGTTTAACTCTGTGACTTCAATGCACACCTCACAAGGGTGTTTCTCAGAAAGCTTCTGTGTAGTTTTTATATGAAGATATCTCCTTCTCCAAAGCAGGTCTCAAAGCCCTCCAAATATTCACTTCAAGATTCTACGGAAAGATTGTCTCAACACTGCTAAATCTAAACAAATGTTCAACTCTGTGTGATGAATGCACTCATCACAGAGAAGTTTCTCTGAAGGCCTCTGTGTAGTTTTTATTTGAAGATATTTGCTTTTCCAGTATAGGGCGAAATAGGGCTCCAAATATTCACTTGCAGATTCTACAAAAGGAGAGATTCCAAACTGCTCAATCAAAACATAGGTTCAACACTGTGAGTTGAATGCACACATCACAAAGAAGTTTCACAGAGTGCTTCTGGGTAGTTTTTATTTGAGGATATTTCCCTTTCCACAATAGGCCTCAAAGCTTTCCAAATATCCACTTGCAGATTCTGCAAAAAGAGAGATACAAAACTGCTCTATCAAAAGATAGATTCGACTCTGTGAGTTGAATGCCAACATCGCAAAGAAGTTTCTCAGAATGCTTCTCTGCAGCTTTTTTGTGAGTATGTTTCGTTTTCCACCATAGGGCGAAATGGGGCTCCAAATATCCACTTGCATTTCCTACAAAAAGAGAGATTCTAAGCTGCTCAATCAAAACATTGTTTCAACACGGTTAGTTGAATGCACACATCCCAAAGATGTTTTTCAGAGTGCTTCTGTGTGGTTTTTATGTGAAGATACTTCCTTTTCCACAATAGGCCTCAAATCTCTGTAAATATCCACTTGCAGACTCTACAAAGAGTGTTTCCAAACTGCTCAATCATAAGATAGGTTCAACTCCGATAGTTGAATGCACACATCACAAAGAAGTTTCTCAGAAAGCTTCTGTGTAGTTTTTGATGAAGATATCTTCTTCTCTAAAACAGAACTCCAAGCCCTCCAAATATTCACTTCAAGATTCTACGGAAAGATTGTCTCAAAACTCCTAAATCAAAACAAAGTTTCAACTCTGTGTCATGAATGCATCCATCTCAAAGAAGTTTCTCTGAATGCTTCTGTGCAGTTTTTATTTGAAGATAATTGCTTTTCCAGTATAGGGCGAAATAGGGCTCCAAATATTCACTTGCAGATTCTACAGAAAGAGAGATTCCAAACTGCTCAATCAAAACATAGGTTCAACACTGTGAGTTGAATGCATACATCACAAAGAAGTTTCACAGAGTACTTCTGGGTGGTTTTTATTTGAAGATATTTCCCTTTCCACAATAGGCCTCAAAGCTTTCCAAATGTCCACTTGCAGATTCCACCAAAAGAGTGTTTCGAAACTGCTCAATCAAAAGAAAGGTTCTACTCTGTGGGATGAATGCACACATCACAAAGTAGTTTCTCAGAATGCTTCTGTGTAGTTTTTATGTGAAGATATTTGTTTTTCCACAGTAGGCCCCAAAGAGCTCCAAATATTCACTTGCAGATTCTACAAAAAGAGTGTTCCAAAACTGCTCAATCATGAAATAGGATCAACCCTGTGAGATGAATGTACGTATGACAGAGAAGTTTCTCAGAATGCTTCTGTGTAGTTTTTATGCGAAGATATTCGATTTTCCACAGTACGCCTCAAAGTTCTCCAATTATCCACTCGTAGATTCTGCAAAAAGAGAGATTCAAAACTGCTCAATCAAAAGATAGTTTCTACTCCATTAGCTGAAAGACCACATCACAAAAAAAGTTTCTCAGGATGCTTCTGTGTAGTTTTTATGTGAAGATATTTGGTTTTCCACAGTAGGCCTCAAAGCGCTCCAAATATCCACTCACAGATTCTGCAAAAAGAGAGATTCAAAACTGCTGAATCAAAAGACAGTTTCAACTCTGTGACTTCAGTGCACACCTCACAAGGATGTTTCTCAGAATGCTTCTGTGTAGTTTTTATATAAAGATATCTCCTTCTCCAAAATGGATCTCAAAGTTCTCCAAATATTCACTTCCAGATTCTATGGAAAGATTGTCTCAAAACTGCTCAATCAAACCAAAGGTTCAACTCTGTGAGATGAATGCCCACATCACAAAGAAGTTTCTCAGAGTACTTCTGTGTAGTTTCTATTTGAGGATAGTTCCTTTTCCACCACAGACCAGAAAGGGCTCCAAATATCCATTGCAGATGGTACAAAAAGTGAGATTCAAAACTGCTCAATCCAAAGGTAGTTTCAACCATGTGATATGAATGCACACAGCACAGAGAATTTTCTCAAAATGCGTCTGTCTAGTTTTTATTTGAAGATATTTCCTTTTCTACCATAGGCCACAAACGTCTCCAAATATCCACATGCAGCTTCTACAAAAAGAGAGATTCAAAACTTCTTAATCAAAAGATAGGTTCAACTCTGTGAGTTGAAAGCACACCTCACAAAGAAGTTTCTCAGAGTGCTTCTGTGTGTTTTTATGTGAAGATATTTCCTTTTCCACAATAGGCCTCAAAGCTCTCCAAATATCTGCGAGCAGAGTCTACAAAATGAGAGATTCAAAACTGCTCAATGAAAAGATAGGTTCAACTCTGTGAGTTGAATGCACACCTCCAAAGAAGTTTCTCAGAATGCTTCCGTGCAGTTTTTATGTGAAGGTATTTACTTTTCCACAGTTGTCCCAAAGCTCTAAAATGTCCACTTGCAGACCCTCCAAAAGAGTGTTTCAGAATTGCTCAATCAAAGGGAAGGTTCAATTCTGTGTGACCAATGCACTCATCACAAAGAAGTTTGTGCTGAATGCTTCTGTGTAGAATTGATTTGAAGATAATTCCTTTTCCACCACAGTCCGCAAAGGGCTAAAAATATCCACTTGCCGATTCCACAAAAAGAGAGATTCAAAACTGCTCAATCACAAGATAGGTTCAACTTGGTAATTGGAAAGCACACATGACATACAATTTCTGAGAATGTTTCTGTGTAGTTTTTAAGGGAAGATATTTGATTTTCAAATGTAGGCCTCAAATCGCTCCAAATATCCACTTGCATATTGTACAAAAAGAGAGATTCAAAACTGGTCACTCAAAAGTTAGGTCCAGCTCTGTGAGCTGAATGCACACATCACAAAGATGTTTCTCAGAAGGTTTCTGTATAGTTTCTATATGAAGATATTTGCTTTTCCACAATATGCCTCAAATCTCCCCAATTATCCACTTGCAGATTCTAGAAAAAGAGTGTTTCAAAACAGCTCAATCAAAATAAACTTTCAACTCTGTGAGATCAATGCACACATCACAAAGAAGTTTCTCAGAATGCTTCTGTGTAGTTTTTTTTGTGAAGATATTTGATTTTCCACAGCAGGCTTCCAAGCACTCCAAATATCCACTCGCAGATTCTGCAAAAAGAGAGATTCAAATCTGCTGAATCAAAAGATAGGTTTAACTCTGTGACTTCAAAGCACACCTCACAAGGGTGTTTCTCAGAAAGCTTCTGTGTAGTTTTTATATGAAGATATCTCCTTCTCCAAAGCAGGTCTCAAAGCCCTCCAAATATTCACTTCAAGATTCTACGGAAAGATTGTCTCAACACTGCTAAATCTAAACAAATGTTCAACTCTGTGTGATGAATGCACTCATCACAGAGAAGTTTCTCTGAATGCCTCTGTGTAGTTTTTATTTGAAGATATTTGCTTTTCCAGTATAGGGCGAAATAGGGCTCCAAATATTCACTTGCAGATTCTACAAAAGGAGAGATTCCAAACTGCTCAATCAAAACATAGGTTCAACACTGTGAGTTGAATGCACACATCACAAAGAAGTTTCACAGAGTGCTTCTGGGTAGTTTTTATTTGAGGATATTTCCCTTTCCACAATAGGCCTCAAAGCTTTCCAAATATCCACTTGCAGATTCTGCAAAAAGAGAGATACAAAACTGCTCTATCAAAAGATAGATTCGACTCTGTGAGTTGAATGCCAACATCGCAAAGAAGTTTCTCAGAATGCTTCTCTGCAGCTTTTTTGTGAGTATGTTTCGTTTTCCACCATAGGGCGAAATGGGGCTCCAAATATCCACTTGCATTTCCTACAAAAAGAGAGATTCTAAGCTGCTCAATCAAAACATTGTTTCAACACGGTTAGTTGAATGCACACATCCCAAAGATGTTTTTCAGAGTGCTTCTGTGTGGTTTTTATGTGAAGATACTTCCTTTTCCACAATAGGCCTCAAATCTCTGTAAATATCCACCTGCAGACTCTACAAAGAGTGTTTCCAAACTGCTCAATCATAAGATAGGTTCAACTCCGATAGTTGAATGCACACATCACAAAGAAGTTTCTCGGAAAGCTTCTGTGTAGTTTTTGATGAAGATATCTTCTTCTCTAAAACAGAACTCCAAGCCCTCCAAATATTCACTTCAAGATTCTACGGAAAGATTGTCTCAAACTGCTAAATCAAAACAAAGGTTCAACTCTGTGTGATGAATGCATTCATCACAAAGAAGTTTCTCTGAGTGCTTCTGTGCAGTTTTTATTTGAAGATAATTGCTTTTCCAGTATAGGGCGAAATAGGGCTCCAAATATTCACTTGCAGATTCTACAGAAAGAGAGATTCCAAACTGCTCAATCAAAACATAGGTTCAACACTGTGAGTTGAATGCATACATCGCAAAGAAGTTTCACAGAGTACTTCTGGGTGGTTTTTATTTGAAGATATTTCCCTTTCCACAATAGGCCTCAAAGCTTTCCAAATGTCCACTTGCAGATTCCACCAAAAGAGTGTTTCGAAACTGCTCAATCAAAAGAAAGTTTCTACTCTGTGGGATGAATGCACACATCACAAAGTAGTTTCTCAGAATGCTTCTGTGTAGTTTTTATGTGAAGATATTTGTTTTTCCACAGTAGGCCCCAAAGAGCTCCAAATATTCACTTGCAGATTCTACAAAAAGAGTGTTCCAAAACTGCTCAATCATGAAATAGGATCAACCCTGTGAGATGAATGTACGTATGACAGAGAAGTTTCTCAGAATGCTTCTGTGTAGTTTTTATGCGAAGATATTCGATTTTCCACAGTACGCCTCAAAGTTCTCCAATTATCCACTCGTAGATTCTGCAAAAAGAGAGATTCAAAACTGCTCAATCAAAAGATAGTTTCTACTCCATTAGCTGAAAGACCACATCACAAAAAAAGTTTACTCAGGATGCTTTCTGTGTAGTTTTTATGTGAAGATATTTGGTTTTCCACAGTAGGCCTCAAAGCGCTCCAAATATCCGCTCACAGATTCTGCAAAAAGAGAGATTCAAAACTGCTGAATCAAAAGACAGTTTCAACTCTGTGACTTCAGTGCACACCTCACAAGGATGTTTCTCAGAATGCTTCTGTGTAGTTTTCATATAAAGATATCTCCTTCTCCAAAATGGATCTCAAAGTTCTCCAAATATTCACTTCCAGATTCTATGGAAAGATTGTCTCAAAACTGCTCAATCAAACCAAAGGTTCAACTCTGTGAGATGAATGCCCACATCACAAAGAAGTTTCTCAGAGTACTTTCTGTGTAGTTTCTATTTGAGGATAGTTCCTTTTCCACCACAGACCAGAAAGGGCTCCAAATATCCATTGCAGATGGTACAAAAAGTGAGATTCAAAACTGCTCAATCCAAAGGTAGTTTCAACCATGTGATATGAATGCACACAGCACAGAGAATTTTCTCAAAATGCGTCTGTCTAGTTTTTATTTGAAGATATTTCCTTTTCTACCATAGGCCACAAACGTCTCCAAATATCCACATGCAGCTTCTACAAAAAGAGAGATTCAAAACTTCTCAATCAAAAGATAGGTTCAACTCTGTGAGTTGAAAGCACACCTCACAAAGAAGTTTCTCAGAGTGCTTCTGTGTGTTTTTATGTGAAGATATTTCCTTTTCCACAATAGGCCTCAAAGCTCTCCAAATATCTGCGAGCAGAGTCTACAAAATGAGAGATTCAAAACTGCTCAATGAAAAGATAGGTTCAACTCTGTGAGTTGAATGCACACCTCCAAAGAAGTTTCTCAGAATGCTTCCGTGTAGTTTTTATGTGAAGATATTTACTTTTCCACAGTTGTCCCAAAGCTCTAAAATATCCACTTGCAGACCCTCCAAAAGAGTGTTTCAGAATTGCTCAATCAAAGGGAAGGTTCAATTCTGTGTGACCAATGCACTCATCACAAAGAAGTTTGTCTGAATGCTTCTGTGTAGAATTGATTTGAAGATAATTCCTTTTCCACCACAGTCCGCAAAGGGCTAAAAATATCCACTTGCCGATTCCACAAAAAGAGAGATTCAAAACTGCTCAATCACAAGATAGGTTCAACTTGGTAATTGGAAAGCACACATGACAAACAATTTCTGAGAATGTTTCTGTGTAGTTTTTAAGGGAAGATATTTGATTTTCAAATGTAGGCCTCAAATCGCTCCAAATATCCACTTGCATATTGTACAAAAAGAGAGATTCAAAACTGGTCACTCAAAAGTTAGGTCCAGCTCTGTGAGCTGAATGCACACATCACAAAGTTGTTTCTCAGAAGGTTTCTGTATAGTTTTTATATGAAGATATTTGCTTTTCCACAATATGCCTCAAATCTCCCCAATTATCCACTTGCAGATTCTAGAAAAAGAGTGTTTCAAAACAGCTCAATCCAAATAAACTTTCAACTCTGTGAGATCAATGCACACATCACAAAGAAGTTTCTCAGAATGCTTCTGTGTAGTTTTTTTTGTGAAGATATTTGATTTTCCACAGCAGGCTTCCAAGCACTCCAAATATCCACTCGCAGATTCTGCAAAAAGAGAGATTCAAATCTGCTGAATCAAAAGATAGGTTTAACTCTGTGACTTCAATGCACACCTCACAAGGGTGTTTCTCAGAAAGCTTCTGTGTAGTTTTTATATGAAGATATCTCCTTCTCCAAAGCAGGTCTCAAAGCCCTCCAAATATTCACTTCAAGATTCTACGGAAAGATTGTCTCAACACTGCTAAATCTAAACAAATGTTCAACTCTGTGTGATGAATGCACTCATCACAGAGAAGTTTCTCTGAATGCCTCTGTGTAGTTTTTATTTGAAGATATTTGCTTTTCCAGTATAGGGCGAAATAGGGCTCCAAATATTCACTTGCAGATTCTACAAAAGGAGAGATTCCAAACTGCTCAATCAAAACATAGGTTCAACACTGTGAGTTGAATGCACACATCACAAAGAAGTTTCACAGAGTGCTTCTGGGTAGTTTTTATTTGAGGATATTTCCCTTTCCACAATAGGCCTCAAAGCTTTCCAAATATCCACTTGCAGATTCTGCAAAAACAGAGATACAAAACTGCTCTATCAAAAGATAGATTCGACTCTGTGAGTTGAATGCCAACATCGCAAAGAAGTTTCTCAGAATGCTTCTCTGCAGCTTTTTTGTGAGTATGTTTCGTTTTCCACCATAGGGCGAAATGGGGCTCCAAATATCCACTTGCATTTCCTACAAAAAGAGAAATTCTAAGCTACTCAATCAAAACATTGTTTCAACACGGTTAGTTGAATGCACACATCCCAAAGATGTTTTTCAGAGTGCTTCTGTGTGGTTTTTATGTGAAGATACTTCCTTTTCCACAATAGGCCTCAAATCTCTGTAAATATCCACTTGCAGACTCTACAAAGAGTGTTTCCAAACTGCTCAATCATAAGATAGGTTCAACTCCGATAGTTGAATGCACACATCACAAAGAAGTTTCCCAGAAAGCTTCTGTGTAGTTTTTGATGAAGATATCTTCTTCTCTAAAACAGAACTCCAAGCCCTCCAAATATTCACTTCAAGATTCTACGGAAAGATTGTCTCAAACTGCTAAATCAAAACAAAGGTTCAACTCTGTGTGATGAATGCATTCATCACAAAGAAGTTTCTCTGAGTGCTTCTGTGCAGTTTTTATTTGAAGATAATTGCTTTTCCAGTATAGGGCGAAATAGGGCTCCAAATATTCACTTGCAGATTCTACAGAAAGAGAGATTCCAAACTGCTCAATCAAAACATAGGTTCAAAACTGTGAGTTGAATGCATACATCGCAAAGAAGTTTCACAGAGTACTTCTGGGTGGTTTTTATTTGAAGATATTTCCCTTTCCACAATAGGCCTCAAAGCTTTCCAAATGTCCACTTGCAGATTCCACCAAAAGAGTGTTTCGAAACTGCTCAATCAAAAGAAAGGTTCTACTCTGTGGGATGAATGCACACATCACAAAGTAGTTTCTCAGAATGCTTCTGTGTAGTT
The DNA here is from genome assembly GCF_000001405.40 of Homo sapiens. Taxonomy (NCBI): domain Eukaryota; kingdom Metazoa; phylum Chordata; class Mammalia; order Primates; family Hominidae; genus Homo; species Homo sapiens. The sequence continues at coordinate 18,170,271 of NC_000015.10, read as the reverse complement.
TTTATGTGAAGATATTTGTTTTTCCACAGTAGGCCCCAAGGAGCTCCAAATATTCACTTGCAGATTCTACAAAAAGAGTGTTCCAAAACTGCTCAATCATGAAATAGGATCAACCCTGTGAGATGAATGTACGTATGACAGAGAAGTTTCTCAGAATGCTTCTGTGTAGTTTTTATGCGAAGATATTCGATTTTCCACAGTACGCCTCAAAGTTCTCCAATTATCCACTCGTAGATTCTGCAAAAAGAGAGATTCAAAACTGCTCAATCAAAAGATAGTTTCTACTCCATTAGCTGAAAGACCACATCACAAAAAAAGTTTCTCAGGATGCTTCTGTGTAGTTTTTATGTGAAGATATTTGGTTTTCCACAGTAGGCCTCAAAGCGCTCCAAATATCCACTCACAGACTCTGCAAAAAGAGAGATTCAAAACTGCTGAATCAAAAGACAGTTTCAACTCTGTGACTTCAGTGCACACCTCACAAGGATGTTTCTCAGAATGCTTCTGTGTAGTTTTCATATAAAGATATCTCCTTCTCCAAAATGGATCTCAAAGTTCTCCAAATATTCACTTCCAGATTCTATGGAAAGATTGTCTCAAAACTGCTCAATCAAACCAAAGGTTCAACTCTGTGAGATGAATGCCCACATCACAAAGAAGTTTCTCAGAGTACTTCTGTGTAGTTTCTATTTGAGGATAGTTCCTTTTCCACCACAGACCAGAAAGGGCTCCAAATATCCATTGCAGATGGTACAAAAAGTGAGATTCAAAACTGCTCAATCCAAAGGTAGTTTCAACCATGTGATATGAATGCACACAGCACAGAGAATTTTCTCAAAATGCGTCTGTCTAGTTTTTATTTGAAGATATTTCCTTTTCTACCATAGGCCACAAACGTCTCCAAATATCCACATGCAGCTTCTACAAAAAGAGAGATTCAAAACTTCTCAATCAAAAGATAGGTTCAACTCTGTGAGTTGAAAGCACACCTCACAAAGAAGTTTCTCAGAGTGCTTCTGTGTGTTTTTATGTGAAGATATTTCCTTTTCCACAATAGGCCTCAAAGCTCTCCAAATATCTGCGAGCAGAGTCTACAAAATGAGAGATTCAAAACTGCTCAATGAAAAGATAGGTTCAACTCTGTGAGTTGAATGCACACCTCCAAAGAAGTTTCTCAGAATGCTTCCGTGTAGTTTTTATGTGAAGATATTTACTTTTCCACAGCTGTCCCAAAGCTCTAAAATATCCACTTGCAGACCCTCCAAAAGAGTGTTTCAGAATTGCTCAATCAAAGGGAAGGTTCAATTCTGTGTGACCAATGCACTCATCACAAAGAAGTTTGTCTGAATGCTTCTGTGTAGAATTGATTTGAAGATAATTCCTTTTCCACCACAGTCCGCAAAGGGCTAAAAATATCCACTTGCCGATTCCACAAAAAGAGAGATTCAAAACTGCTCAATCACAAGATAGGTTCAACTTGGTAATTGGAAAGCACACATGACAAACAATTTCTGAGAATGTTTCTGTGTAGTTTTTAAGGGAAGATATTTGATTTTCAAATGTAGGCCTCAAATCGCTCCAAATATCCACTTGCATATTGTACAAAAAGAGAGATTCAAAACTGGTCACTCAAAAGTTAGGTCCAGCTCTGTGAGCTGAATGCACACATCACAAAGATGTTTCTCAGAAGGTTTCTGTATAGTTTCTATATGAAGATATTGGCTTTTCCACAATATGCCTCAAATCTCCCCAATTATCCACTTGCAGATTCTAGAAAAAGAGTGTTTCAAAACAGCTCAATCAAAATAAACTTTCAACTCTGTGAGATCAATGCACACATCACAAAGAAGTTTCTCAGAATGCTTCTGTGTAGTTTTTTTTGTGAAGATATTTGATTTTCCACAGCAGGCTTCCAAGCACTCCAAATATCCACTCGCAGATTCTGCAAAAAGAGAGATTCAAATCTGCTGAATCAAAAGATAGGTTTAACTCTGTGACTTCAATGCACACCTCACAAGGGTGTTTCTCAGAAAGCTTCTGTGTAGTTTTTATATGAAGATATCTCCTTCTCCAAAGCAGGTCTCAAAGCCCTCCAAATATTCACTTCAAGATTCTACGGAAAGATTGTCTCAACACTGCTAAATCTAAACAAATGTTCAACTCTGTGTGATGAATGCACTCATCACAGAGAAGTTTCTCTGAATGCCTCTGTGTAGTTTTTATTTGAAGATATTTGCTTTTCCAGTATAGGGTGAAATAGGGCTCCAAATATTCACTTGCAGATTCTACAAAAGGAGAGATTCCAAACTGCTCAATCAAAACATAGGTTCAACACTGTGAGTTGAATGCACACATCACAAAGAAGTTTCACAGAGTGCTTCTGGGTAGTTTTTATTTGAGGATATTTCCCTTTCCACAATAGGCCTCAAAGCTTTCCAAATATCCACTTGCAGATTCTGCAAAAAGAGAGATACAAAACTGCTCTATCAAAAGATAGATTCGACTCTGTGAGTTGAATGCCAACATCGCAAAGAAGTTTCTCAGAATGCTTCTCTGCAGCTTTTTTGTGAGTATGTTTCGTTTTCCACCATAGGGCGAAATGGGGCTCCAAATATCCACTTGCATTTCCTACAAAAAGAGAGATTCTAAGCTGCTCAATCAAAACATTGTTTCAACACGGTTAGTTGAATGCACACATCCCAAAGATGTTTTTCAGAGTGCTTCTGTGTGGTTTTTATGTGAAGATACTTCCTTTTCCACAATAGGCCTCAAATCTCTGTAAATATCCACTTGCAGACTCTACAAAGAGTGTTTCCAAACTGCTCAATCATAAGATAGGTTCAACTCCGATAGTTGAATGCACACATCACAAAGAAGTTTCTCGGAAAGCTTCTGTGTAGTTTTTGATGAAGATATCTTCTTCTCTAAAACAGAACTCCAAGCCCTCCAAATATTCACTTCAAGATTCTACGGAAAGATTGTCTCAAACTGCTAAATCAAAACAAAGGTTCAACTCTGTGTGATGAATGCATTCATCACAAAGAAGTTTCTCTGAGTGCTTCTGTGCAGTTTTTATTTGAAGATAATTGCTTTTCCAGTATAGGGCGAAATAGGGCTCCAAATATTCACTTGCAGATTCTACAGAAAGAGAGATTCCAAACTGCTCAATCAAAACATAGGTTCAACACTGTGAGTTGAATGCATACATCGCAAAGAAGTTTCACAGAGTACTTCTGGGTGGTTTTTATTTGAAGATATTTCCCTTTCCACAATAGGCCTCAAAGCTTTCCAAATGTCCACTTGCAGATTCCACCAAAAGAGTGTTTCGAAACTGCTCAATCAAAAGAAAGGTTCTACTCTGTGGGATGAATGCACACATCACAAAGTAGTTTCTCAGAATGCTTCTGTGTAGTTTTTATGTGAAGATATTTGTTTTTCCACAGTAGGCCCCAAAGAGCTCCAAATATTCACTTGCAGATTCTACAAAAAGAGTGTTCCAAAACTGCTCAATCATGAAATAGGATCAACCCTGTGAGATGAATGTACGTATGACAGAGAAGTTTCTCAGAATGCTTCTGTGTAGTTTTTATGCGAAGATATTCGACTTTCCACAGTACGCCTCAAAGTTCTCCAATTATCCACTCGTAGATCCTGCAAAAAGAGAGATTCAAAACTGCTCAATCAAAAGATAGTTTCTACTCCATTAGCTGAAAGACCACATCACAAAAAAAGTTTCTCAGGATGCTTCTGTGTAGTTTTTATGTGAAGATATTTGGTTTTCCACAGTAGGCCTCAAAGCGCTCCAAATATCCACTCACAGATTCTGCAAAAAGAGAGATTCAAAACTGCTGAATCAAAAGACAGTTTCAACTCTGTGACTTCAGTGCACACCTCACAAGGATGTTTCTCAGAATGCTTCTGTGTAGTTTTTATATAAAGATATCTCCTTCTCCAAAATGGATCTCAAAGTTCTCCAAATATTCACTTCCAGATTCTATGGAAAGATTGTCTCAAAACTGCTCAATCAAACCAAAGGTTCAACTCTGTGAGATGAATGCCCACATCACAAAGAAGTTTCTCAGAGTACTTCTGTGTAGTTTCTATTTGAGGATAGTTCCTTTTCCACCACAGACCAGAAAGGGCTCCAAATATCCATTGCAGATGGTACAAAAAGTGAGATTCAAAACTGCTCAATCCAAAGGTAGTTTCAACCATGTGATATGAATGCACACAGCACAGAGAATTTTCTCAAAATGCGTCTGTCTAGTTTTTATTTGAAGATATTTCCTTTTCTACCATAGGCCACAAACGTCTCCAAATATCCACATGCAGCTTCCACAAAAAGAGAGATTCAAAACTTCTCAATCAAAAGATAGGTTCAACTCTGTGAGTTGAAAGCACACCTCACAAAGAAGTTTCTCAGAGTGCTTCTGTGTGTTTTTATGTGAGGATATTTCCTTTTCCACAATAGGCCTCAAAGCTCTCCAAATATCTGCGAGCAGAGTCTACAAAATGAGAGATTCAAAACTGCTCAATGAAAAGATAGGTTCAACTCTGTGAGTTGAATGCACACCTCCAAAGAAGTTTCTCAGAATGCTTCCGTGTAGTTTTTATGTGAAGATATTTACTTTTCCACAGTTGTCCCAAAGCTCTAAAATATCCACTTGCAGACCCTCCAAAAGAGTGTTTCAGAATTGCTCAATCAAAGGGAAGGTTCAATTCTGTGTGACCAATGCACTCATCACAAAGAAGTTTGTCTGAATGCTTCTGTGTAGAATTGATTTGAAGATAATTCCTTTTCCACCACAGTCCGCAAAGGGCTAAAAATATCCACTTGCCGATTCCACAAAAAGAGAGATTCAAAACTGCTCAATCACAAGATAGGTTCAACTTGGTAATTGGAAAGCACACATGACATACAATTTCTGAGAATGTTTCTGTGTAGTTTTTAAGGGAAGATATTTGATTTTCAAATGTAGGCCTCAAATCGCTCCAAATATCCACTTGCATATTGTACAAAAAGAGAGATTCAAAACTGGTCACTCAAAAGTTAGGTCCAGCTCTGTGAGCTGAATGCACACATCACAAAGATGTTTCTCAGAAGGTTTCTGTATAGTTTCTATATGAAGATATTTGCTTTTCCACAATATGCCTCAAATCTCCCCAATTATCCACTTGCAGATTCTAGAAAAAGAGTGTTTCAAAACAGCTCAATCAAAATAAACTTTCAACTCTGTGAGATCAATGCACACATCACAAAGAAGTTTCTCAGAATGCTTCTGTGTAGTTTTTTTTGTGAAGATATTTGATTTTCCACAGCAGGCTTCCAAGCACTCCAAATATCCACTCGCAGATTCTGCAAAAAGAGAGATTCAAATCTGCTGAATCAAAAGATAGGTTTAACTCTGTGACTTCAATGCACACCTCACAAGGGTGTTTCTCAGAAAGCTTCTGTGTAGTTTTTATATGAAGATATCTCCTTCTCCAAAGCAGGTCTCAAAGCCCTCCAAATATTCACTTCAAGATTCTACGGAAAGATTGTCTCAACACTGCTAAATCTAAACAAATGTTCAACTCTGTGTGATGAATGCACTCATCACAGAGAAGTTTCTCTGAATGCCTCTGTGTAGTTTTTATTTGAAGATATTTGCTTTTCCAGTATAGGGCGAAATAGGGCTCCAAATATTCACTTGCAGATTCTACAAAAGGAGAGATTCCAAACTGCTCAATCAAAACATAGGTTCAACACTGTGAGTTGAATGCACACATCACAAAGAAGTTTCACAGAGTGCTTCTGGGTAGTTTTTATTTGAGGATATTTCCCTTTCCACAATAGGCCTCAAAGCTTTCCAAATATCCACTTGCAGATTCTGCAAAAAGAGAGATACAAAACTGCTCTATCAAAAGATAGATTCGACTCTGTGAGTTGAATGCCAACATCGCAAAGAAGTTTCTCAGAATGCTTCTCTGCAGCTTTTTTGTGAGTATGTTTCGTTTTCCACCATAGGGCGAAATGGGGCTCCAAATATCCACTTGCATTTCCTACAAAAAGAGAGATTCTAAGCTGCTCAATCAAAACATTGTTTCAACACGGTTAGTTGAATGCACACATCCCAAAGATGTTTTTCAGAGTGCTTCTGTGTGGTTTTTATGTGAAGATACTTCCTTTTCCACAATAGGCCTCAAATCTCTGTAAATATCCACTTGCAGACTCTACAAAGAGTGTTTCCAAACTCCTCAATCATAAGATAGGTTCAACTCCGATAGTTGAAGGCACACATCACAAAGAAGTTTCTCAGAAAGCTTCTGTGTAGTTTTTGATGAAGATATCTTCTTCTCTAAAACAGAACTCCAAGCCCTCCAAATATTCACTTCAAGATTCTACGGAAAGATTGTCTCAAACTGCTAAATCAAAACAAAGGTTCAACTCTGTGTGATGAATGCATTCATCACAAAGAAGTTTCTCTGAGTGCTTCTGTGCAGTTTTTATTTGAAGATAATTGCTTTTCCAGTATAGGGCGAAATAGGGCTCCAAATATTCACTTGCAGATTCTACAGAAAGAGAGATTCCAAACTGCTCAATCAAAACATAGGTTCAACACTGTGAGTTGAATGCATACATCGCAAAGAAGTTTCACAGAGTACTTCTGGGTGGTTTTTATTTGAAGATATTTCCCTTTCCACAATAGGCCTCAAAGCTTTCCAAATGTCCACTTGCAGATTCCACCAAAAGAGTGTTTCGAAACTGCTCAATCAAAAGAAAGGTTCTACTCTGTGGGATGAATGCACACATCACAAAGTAGTTTCTCAGAATGCTTCTGTGTAGTTTTTATGTGAAGATATTTGTTTTTCCACAGTAGGCCCCAAAGAGCTCCAAATATTCACTTGCAGATTCTACAAAAAGAGTGTTCCAAAACTGCTCAATCATGAAATAGGATCAACCCTGTGAGATGAATGTACGTATGACAGAGAAGTTTCTCAGAATGCTTCTGTGTAGTTTTTATGCGAAGATATTCGATTTTCCACAGTACGCCTCAAAGTTCTCCAATTATCCACTCGTAGATTCTGCAAAAAGAGAGATTCAAAACTGCTCAATCAAAAGATAGTTTCTACTCCATTAGCTGAAAGACCACATCACAAAAAAAGTTTCTCAGGATGCTTCTGTGTAGTTTTTATGTGAAGATATTTGGTTTTCCACAGTAGGCCTCAAAGCGCTCCAAATATCCACTCACAGGTTCTGCAAAAAGAGAGATTCAAAACTGCTGAATCAAAAGACAGTTTCAACTCTGTGACTTCAGTGCACACCTCACAAGGATGTTTCTCAGAATGCTTTCTGTGTGGTTTCATATAAAGATATCTCCTTCTCCAAAATGGATCTCAAAGTTCTCCAAATATTCACTTCCAGATTCTATGGAAAGATTGTCTCAAAACTGCTCAATCAAACCAAAGGTTCAACTCTGTGAGATGAATGCCCACATCACAAAGAAGTTTCTCAGAGTACTTCTGTGTAGTTTCTATTTGAGGATAGTTCCTTTTCCACCACAGACCAGAAAGGGCTCCAAATATCCATTGCAGATGGTACAAAAAGTGAGATTCAAAACTGCTCAATCCAAAGGTAGTTTCAACCATGTGATATGAATGCACACAGCACAGAGAATTTTCTCAAAATGCGTCTGTCTAGTTTTTATTTGAAGATATTTCCTTTTCTACCATAGGCCACAAACGTCTCCAAATATCCACATGCAGCTTCTACAAAAAGAGAGATTCAAAACTTCTCAATCAAAAGATAGGTTCAACTCTGTGAGTTGAAAGCACACCTCACAGAGAAGTTTCTCAGAGTGCTTCTGTGTGTTTTTATGTGAAGATATTTCCTTTTCCACAATAGGCCTCAAAGCTCTCCAAATATCTGCGAGCACAGTCTACAAAATGAGAGATTCAAAACTGCTCAATGAAAAGATAGGTTCAACTCTGTGAGTTGAATGCACACCTCCAAAGAAGTTTCTCAGAATGCTTCCGTGTAGTTTTTATGTGAAGATATTTACTTTTCCACAGTTGTCCCAAAGCTCTAAAATGTCCACTTGCAGACCCTCCAAAAGAGTGTTTCAGAATTGCTCAATCAAAGGGAAGGTTCAATTCTGTGTGACCAATGCACTCATCACAAAGAAGTTTGTCTGAATGCTTCTGTGTAGAATTGATTTGAAGATAATTCCTTTTCCACCACAGTCCGCAAAGGGCTAAAAATATCCACTTGCCGATTCCACAAAAAGAGAGATTCAAAACTGCTCAATCACAAGATAGGTTCAACTTGGTAATTGGAAAGCACACATGACAAACAATTTCTGAGAATGTTTCTGTGTAGTTTTTAAGGGAAGATATTTGATTTTCAAATGTAGGCCTCAAATCGCTCCAAATATCCACTTGCATATTGTACAAAAAGAGAGATTCAAAACTGGTCACTCAAAAGTTAGGTCCAGCTCTGTGAGCTGAATGCACACATCACAAAGATGTTTCTCAGAAGGTTTCTGTATAGTTTCTATATGAAGATATTTGCTTTTCCACAATATGCCTCAAATCTCCCAATTATCCACTTGCAGATTCTAGAAAAAGAGTGTTTCAAAACAGCTCAATCCAAATAAACTTTCAACCCTGTGAGATCAATGCACACATCACAAAGAAGTTTCTCAGAATGCTTCTGTGTAGTTTTTTTTGTGAAGATATTTGATTTTCCACAGCAGGCTTCCAAGCACTCCAAATATCCACTCGCAGATTCTGCAAAAAGAGAGATTCAAATCTGCTGAATCAAAAGATAGGTTTAACTCTGTGACTTCAATGCACACCTCACAAGGGTGTTTCTCAGAAAGCTTCTGTGTAGTTTTTATATGAAGATATCTCCTTCTCCAAAGCAGGTCTCAAAGCCCTCCAAATATTCACTTCAAGATTCTACGGAAAGATTGTCTCAACACTGCTAAATCTAAACAAATGTTCAACTCTGTGTGATGAATGCACTCATCACAGAGAAGTTTCTCTGAATGCCTCTGTGTAGTTTTTATTTGAAGATATTTGCTTTTCCAGTATAGGGCGAAATAGGGCTCCAAATATTCACTTGCAGATTCTACAAAAGGAGAGATTCCAAACTGCTCAATCAAAACATAGGTTCAACACTGTGAGTTGAATGCACACATCACAAAGAAGTTTCACAGAGTGCTTCTGGGTAGTTTTTATTTGAGGATATTTCCCTTTCCACAATAGGCCTCAAAGCTTTCCAAATATCCACTTGCAGATTCTGCAAAAAGAGAGATACAAAACTGCTCTATCAAAAGATAGATTCGACTCTGTGAGTTGAATGCCAACATCGCAAAGAAGTTTCTCAGAATGCTTCTCTGCAGCTTTTTTGTGAGTATGTTTCGTTTTCCACCATAGGGCGAAATGGGGCTCCAAATATCCACTTGCATTTCCTACAAAAGGAGAGATTCTAAGCTGCTCAATCAAAACATTGTTTCAACACGGTTAGTTGAATGCACACATCCCAAAGATGTTTTTCAGAGTGCTTCTGTGTGGTTTTTATGTGAAGATACTTCCTTTTCCACAATAGGCCTCAAATCTCTGTAAATATCCACTTGCAGACTCTACAAAGAGTGTTTCCAAACTGCTCAATCATAAGATAGGTTCAACTCCGATAGTTGAATGCACACATCACAAAGAAGTTTCTCAGAAAGCTTCTGTGCAGTTTTTGATGAAGATATCTCCTTCTCTAAAACAGACCTCCAAGCCCTCCAAATATTCACTTCAAGATTCTACGGAAAGATTGTCTCAAACTGCTAAATCAAAACAAAGGTTCAACTCTGTGTGATGAATGCATTCATCACAAAGAAGTTTCTCTGAGTGCTTCTGTGCAGTTTTTATTTGAAGATAATTGCTTTTCCAGTATAGGGCGAAATAGGGCTCCAAATATTCACTTGCAGATTCTACAGAAAGAGAGATTCCAAACTGCTCAATCAAAACATAGGTTCAACACTGTGAGTTGAATGCATACATCGCAAAGAAGTTTCACAGAGTACTTCTGGGTGGTTTTTATTTGAAGATATTTCCCTTTCCACAATAGGCCTCAAAGCTTTCCAAATGTCCACTTGCAGATTCCACCAAAAGAGTGTTTCGAAACTGCTCAATCAAAAGAAAGGTTCTACTCTGTGGGATGAATGCACACATCACAAAGTAGTTTCTCAGAATGCTTCTGTGTAGTTTTTATGTGAAGATATTTGTTTTTCCACAGTAGGCCCCAAAGAGCTCCAAATATTCACTTGCAGATTCTACAAAAAGAGTGTTCCAAAACTGCTCAATCATGAAATAGGATCAACCCTGTGAGATGAATGTACGTATGACAGAGAAGTTTCTCAGAATGCTTCTGTGTAGTTTTTATGCGAAGATATTCGATTTTCCACAGTACGCCTCAAAGTTCTCCAATTATCCACTCGTAGATTCTGCAAAAAGAGAGATTCAAAACTGCTCAATCAAAAGATAGTTTCTACTCCATTAGCTGAAAGACCACATCACAAAAAAAGTTTCTCAGGATGCTTCTGTGTAGTTTTTATGTGAACATATTTGGTTTTCCACAGTAGGCCTCAAAGCGCTCCAAATATCCGCTCACAGACTCTGCAAAAAGAGAGATTCAAAACTGCTGAATCAAAAGACAGTTTCAACTCTGTGACTTCAGTGCACACCTCACAAGGATGTTTCTCAGAATGCTTCTGTGTAGTTTTTATATAAAGATATCTCCTTCTCCAAAATGGATCTCAAAGTTCTCCAAATATTCACTTCCAGATTCTATGGAAAGATTGTCTCAAAACTGCTCAATCAAACCAAAGGTTCAACTCTGTGAGATGAATGCCCACATCACAAAGAAGTTTCTCAGAGTACTTCTGTGTAGTTTCTATTTGAGGATAGTTCCTTTTCCACCACAGACCAGAAAGGGCTCCAAATATCCATTGCAGATGGTACAAAAAGTGAGATTCAAAACTGCTCAATCCAAAGGTAGTTTCAACCATGTGATATGAATGCACACAGCACAGAGAATTTTCTCAAAATGCGTCTGTCTAGTTTTTATTTGAAGATATTTCCTTTTCTACCATAGGCCACAAACGTCTCCAAATATCCACATGCAGCTTCTACAAAAAGAGAGATTCAAAACTTCTCAATCAAAAGATAGGTTCAACTCTGTGAGTTGAAAGCACACCTCACAGAGAAGTTTCTCAGAGTGCTTCTGTGTGTTTTTATGTGAAGATATTTCCTTTTCCACAATAGGCCTCAAAGCTCTCCAAATATCTGCGAGCAGAGTCTACAAAATGAGAGATTCAAAACTGCTCAATGAAAAGATAGGTTCAACTCTGTGAGTTGAATGCACACCTCCAAAGAAGTTTCTCAGAATGCTTCCGTGTAGTTTTTATGTGAAGATATTTACTTTTCCACAGTTGTCCCAAAGCTCTAAAATGTCCACTTGCAGACCCTCCAAAAGAGTGTTTCAGAATTGCTCAATCAAAGGGAAGGTTCAATTCTGTGTGACCAATGCACTCATCACAAAGAAGTTTGTCTGAATGCTTCTGTGTAGAATTGATTTGAAGATAATTCCTTTTCCACCACAGTCCGCAAAGGGCTAAAAATATCCACTTGCCGATTCCACAAAAAGAGAGATTCAAAACTGCTCAATCACAAGATAGGTTCAACTTGGTAATTGGAAAGCACACATGACAAACAATTTCTGAGAATGTTTCTGTGTAGTTTTTAAGGGAAGATATTTGATTTTCAAATGTAGGCCTCAAATCGCTCCAAATATCCACTTGCATATTGTACAAAAAGAGAGATTCAAAACTGGTCACTCAAAAGTTAGGTCCAGCTCTGTGAGCTGAATGCACACATCACAAAGATGTTTCTCAGAAGGTTTCTGTATAGTTTCTATATGAAGATATTTGCTTTTCCACAATATGCCTCAAATCTCCCCAATTATCCACTTGCAGATTCTAGAAAAAGAGTGTTTCAAAACAGCTCAATCAAAATAAACTTTCAACTCTGTGAGATCAATGCACACATCACAAAGAAGTTTCTCAGAATGCTTCTGTGTAGTTTTTTTTGTGAAGATATTTGATTTTCCACAGCAGGCTTCCAAGCACTCCAAATATCCACTCGCAGATTCTGCAAAAAGAGAGATTCAAATCTGCTGAATCAAAAGATAGGTTTAACTCTGTGACTTCAATGCACACCTCACAAGGGTGTTTCTCAGAAAGCTTCTGTGTAGTTTTTATATGAAGATATCTCCTTCTCCAAAGCAGGTCTCAAAGCCCTCCAAATATTCACTTCAAGATTCTACGGAAAGATTGTCTCAACACTGCTAAATCTAAACAAATGTTCAACTCTGTGTGATGAATGCACTCATCACAGAGAAGTTTCTCTGAATGCCTCTGTGTAGTTTTTATTTGAAGATATTTGCTTTTCCAGTATAGGGCGAAATAGGGCTCCAAATATTCACTTGCAGATTCTACAAAAGGAGAGATTCCAAACTGCTCAATCAAAACATAGGTTCAACACTGTGAGTTGAATGCACACATCACAAAGAAGTTTCACAGAGTGCTTCTGGGTAGTTTTTATTTGAGGATATTTCCCTTTCCACAATAGGCCTCAAAGCTTTCCAAATATCCACTTGCAGATTCTGCAAAAACAGAGATACAAAACTGCTCTATCAAAAGATAGATTCGACTCTGTGAGTTGAATGCCAACATCGCAAAGAAGTTTCTCAGAATGCTTCTCTGCAGCTTTTTTGTGAGTATGTTTCCTTTTCCACCATAGGGCGAAATGGGGCTCCAAATATCCACTTGCATTTCCTACAAAAAGAGAGATTCTAAGCTGCTCAATCAAAACATTGTTTCAACACGGTTAGTTGAATGCACACATCCCAAAGATGTTTTTCAGAGTGCTTCTGTGTGGTTTTTATGTGAAGATACTTCCTTTTCCACAATAGGCCTCAAATCTCTGTAAATATCCACTTGCAGACTCCACAAAGAGTGTTTCCAAACTGCTCAATCATAAGATAGGTTCAACTCCGATAGTTGAATGCACACATCACAAAGAAGTTTCTCAGAAAGCTTCTGTGTAGTTTTTGATGAAGATATCTTCTTCTCTAAAACAGAACTCCAAGCCCTCCAAATATTCACTTCAAGATTCTACGGAAAGATTGTCTCAAACTGCTAAATCAAAACAAAGGTTCAACTCTGTGTGATGAATGCATTCATCACAAAGAAGTTTCTCTGAGTGCTTCTGTGCAGTTTTTATTTGAAGATAATTGCTTTTCCAGTATAGGGCGAAATAGGGCTCCAAATATTCACTTGCAGATTCTACAGAAAGAGAGATTCCAAACTGCTCAATCAAAACATAGGTTCAACACTGTGAGTTGAATGCATACATCGCAAAGAAGTTTCACAGAGTACTTCTGGGTGGTTTTTATTTGAAGATATTTCCCTTTCCACAATAGGCCTCAAAGCTTTCCAAATGTCCACTTGCAGATTCCACCAAAAGAGTGTTTCGAAACTGCTCAATCAAAAGAAAGGTTCTACTCTGTGGGATGAATGCACACATCACAAAGTAGTTTCTCAGAATGCTTCTGTGTAGTTTTTATGTGAAGATATTTGTTTTTCCACAGTAGGCCCCAAAGAGCTCCAAATATTCACTTGCAGATTCTACAAAAAGAGTGTTCCAAAACTGCTCAATCATGAAATAGGATCAACCCTGTGAGATGAATGTACGTATGACAGAGAAGTTTCTCAGAATGCTTCTGTGTAGTTTTTATGCGAAGATATTCGACTTTCCACAGTACGCCTCAAAGTTCTCCAATTAGCCACTCGTAGATCCTGCAAAAAGAGAGATTCAAAACTGCTCAATCAAAAGATAGTTTCTACTCCATTAGCTGAAAGACCACATCACAAAAAAAGTTTCTCAGGATGCTTCTGTGTAGTTTTTATGTGAAGATATTTGGTTTTCCACAGTAGGCCTCAAAGCGCTCCAAATATCCACTCACAGATTCTGCAAAAAGAGAGATTCAAAACTGCTGAATCAAAAGACAGTTTCAACTCTGTGACTTCAGTGCACACCTCACAAGGATGTTTCTCAGAATGCTTCTGTGTAGTTTTCATATAAAGATGTCTCCTTCTCCAAAATGGATCTCAAAGTTCTCCAAATATTCACTTCCAGATTCTATGGAAAGATTGTCTCAAAACTGCTCAATCAAACCAAAGGTTCAACTCTGTGAGATGAATGCCCACATCACAAAGAAGTTTCTCAGAGTACTTCTGTGTAGTTTCTATTTGAGGATAGTTCCTTTTCCACCACAGACCAGAAAGGGCTCCAAATATCCATTGCAGATGGTACAAAAAGTGAGATTCAAAACTGCTCAATCCAAAGGTAGTTTCAACCATGTGATATGAATGCACACAGCACAGAGAATTTTCTCAAAATGCGTCTGTCTAGTTTTTATTTGAAGATATTTTCTTTTCTACCATAGGCCACAAACGTCTCCAAATATCCACATGCAGCTTCTACAAAAAGAGAGATTCAAAACTTCTCAATCAAAAGATAGGTTCAACTCTGTGAGTTGAAAGCACACCTCACAAAGAAGTTTCTCAGAGTGCTTCTGTGTGTTTTTATGTGAAGATATTTCCTTTTCCACAATAGGCCTCAAAGCTCTCCAAATATCTGCGAGCAGAGTCTACAAAATGAGAGATTCAAAACTGCTCAATGAAAAGATAGGTTCAACTCTGCGAGTTGAATGCACACCTCCAAAGAAGTTTCTCAGAATGCTTCCGTGTAGTTTTTATGTGAAGATATTTACTTTTCCACAGTTGTCCCAAAGCTCTAAAATGTCCACTTGCAGACCCTCCAAAAGAGTGTTTCAGAATTGCTCAATCAAAGGGAAGGTTCAATTCTGTGTGACCAATGCACTCATCACAAAGAAGTTTGTCTGAATGCTTCTGTGTAGAATTGATTTGAAGATAATTCCTTTTCCACCGCAGTCCGCAAAGGGCTAAAAATATCCACTTGCCGATTCCACAAAAAGAGAGATTCAAAACTGCTCAATCACAAGATAGGTTCAACTTGGTAATTGGAAAGCACACATGACAAACAATTTCTGAGAATGTTTCTGTGTAGTTTTTAAGGGAAGATATTTGATTTTCAAATGTAGGCCTCAAATCGCTCCAAATATCCACTTGCATATTGTACAAAAAGAGAGATTCAAAACTGGTCACTCAAAAGTTAGGTCCAGCTCTGTGAGCTGAATGCACACATCACAAAGATGTTTCTCAGAAGGTTTCTGTATAGTTTCTATATGAAGATATTTGCTTTTCCACAATATGCCTCAAATCTCCCCAATTATCCACTTGCAGATTCTAGAAAAAGAGTGTTTCAAAACAGCTCAATCAAAATAAACTTTCAACTCTGTGAGATCAATGCACACATCACAAAGAAGTTTCTCAGAATGCTTCTGTGTAGTTTTTTTTGTGAAGATATTTGATTTTCCACAGCAGGCTTCCAAGCACTCCAAATATCCACTCGCAGATTCTGCAAAAAGAGAGATTCAAATCTGCTGAATCAAAAGATAGGTTTAACTCTGTGACTTCAATGCACACCTCACAAGGGTGTTTCTCAGAAAGCTTCTGTGTAGTTTTTATATGAAGATATCTCCTTCTCCAAAGCAGGTCTCAAAGCCCTCCAAATATTCACTTCAAGATTCTACGGAAAGATTGTCTCAACACTGCTAAATCTAAACAAATGTTCAACTCTGTGTGATGAATGCACTCATCACAGAGAAGTTTCTCTGAATGCCTCTGTGTAGTTTTTATTTGAAGATATTTGCTTTTCCAGTATAGGGCGAAATAGGGCTCCAAATATTCACTTGCAGATTCTACAAAAGGAGAGATTCCAAACTGCTCAATCAAAACATAGGTTCAACACTGTGAGTTGAATGCACACATCACAAAGAAGTTTCACAGAGTGCTTCTGGGTAGTTTTTATTTGAGGATATTTCCCTTTCCACAATAGGCCTCAAAGCTTTCCAAATATCCACTTGCAGATTCTGCAAAAAGAGAGATACAAAACTGCTCTATCAAAAGATAGATTCGACTCTGTGAGTTGAATGCCAACATCGCAAAGAAGTTTCTCAGAATGCTTCTCTGCAGCTTTTTTGTGAGTATGTTTCGTTTTCCACCATAGGGCGAAATGGGGCTCCAAATATCCACTTGCATTTCCTACAAAAAGAGAGATTCTAAGCTGCTCAATCAAAACATTGTTTCAACACGGTTAGTTGAATGCACACATCCCAAAGATGTTTTTCAGAGTGCTTCTGTGTGGTTTTTATGTGAAGATACTTCCTTTTCCACAATAGGCCTCAAATCTCTGTAAATATCCACTTGCAGACTCTACAAAGAGTGTTTCCAAACTGCTCAATCATAAGATAGGTTCAACTCCGATAGTTGAATGCACACATCACAAAGAAGTTTCTCAGAAAGCTTCTGTGTAGTTTTTGATGAAAATATCTTCTTCTCTAAAACAGAACTCCAAGCCCTCTAAATATTCACTTCAAGATTCTACGGAAAGATTGTCTCAAACTGCTAAATCAAAACAAAGGTTCAACTCTGTGTGATGAATGCATTCATCACAAAGAAGCTTCTCTGAGTGCTTCTGTGCAGTTTTTATTTGAAGATAATTGCTTTTCCAGTATAGGGCGAAATAGGGCTCCAAATATTCACTTGCAGATTCTACAGAAAGAGAGATTCCAAACTGCTCAATCAAAACATAGGTTCAACACTGTGAGTTGAATGCATACATCGCAAAGAAGTTTCACAGAGTACTTCTGGGTGGTTTTTATTTGAAGATATTTCCCTTTCCACAATAGGCCTCAAAGCTTTCCAAATGTCCACTTGCAGATTCCACCAAAAGAGTGTTTCGAAACTGCTCAATCAAAAGAAAGGTTCTACTCTGTGGGATGAATGCACACATCACAAAGTAGTTTCTCAGAATGCTTCTGTGTAGTTTTTATGTGAAGATATTTGTTTTTCCACAGTAGGCCCCAAAGAGCTCCAAATATTCACTTGCAGATTCTACAAAAAGAGTGTTCCAAAACTGCTCAATCATGAAATAGGATCAACCCTGTGAGATGAATGTACGTATGACAGAGAAGTTTCTCAGAATGCTTCTGTGTAGTTTTTATGCGAAGATATTCGATTTTCCACAGTACGCCTCAAAGTTCTCCAATTATCCACTCGTAGATCCTGCAAAAAGAGAGACTCAAAACTGCTCAATCAAAAGATAGTTTCTACTCCATTAGCTGAAAGACCACATCACAAAAAAAGTTTCTCAGGATGCTTCTGTGTAGTTTTTATGTGAAGATATTTGGTTTTCCACAGTAGGCCTCAAAGCGCTCCAAATATCCACTCACAGATTCTGCAAAAAGAGAGATTCAAAACTGCTGAATCAAAAGACAGTTTCAACACTGTGACTTCAGTGCACACCTCACAAGGATGTTTCTCAGAATGCTTCTGTGTAGTTTTCATATAAAGATATCTCCTTCTCCAAAATGGATCTCAAAGTTCTCCAAATATTCACTTCCAGATTCTATGGAAAGATTGTCTCAAAACTGCTCAATCAAACCAAAGGTTCAACTCTGTGAGATGAATGCCCACATCACAAAGAAGTTTCTCAGAGTACTTCTGTGTAGTTTCTACTTGAGGATAGTTCCTTTTCCACCACAGACCAGAAAGGGCTCCAGATATCCATTGCAGATGGTACAAAAAGTGAGATTCAAAACTGCTCAATCCAAAGGTAGTTTCAACCATGTGATATGAATGCACACAGCACAGAGAATTTTCTCAAAATGCGTCTGTCTAGTTTTTATTTGAAGATATTTCCTTTTCTACCATAGGCCACAAACGTCTCCAAATATCCACATGCAGCTTCTACAAAAAGAGAGATTCAAAAGTTCTCAATCAAAAGATAGGTTCAACTCTGTGAGTTGAAAGCACACCTCACAAAGAAGTTTCTCAGAGTGCTTCTGTGTGTTTTTATGTGAAGATATTTCCTTTTCCACAATAGGCCTCAAAGCTCTCCAAATATCTGCGAGCAGAGTCTACAAAATGAGAGATTCAAAACTGCTCAATGAAAAGATAGGTTCAACTCTGTGAGTTGAATGCACACCTCCAAAGAAGTTTCTCAGAATGCTTCCGTGTAGTTTTTATGTGAAGATATTTACTTTTCCACAGTTGTCCCAAAGCTCTAAAATGTCCACTTGCAGACCCTCCAAAAGAGTGTTTCAGAATTGCTCAATCAAAGGGAAGGTTCAATTCTGTGTGACCAATGCACTCATCACAAAGAAGTTTGTCTGAATGCTTCTGTGTAGAATTGATTTGAAGATAATTCCTTTTCCACCACAGTCCGCAAAGGGCTAAAAATATCCACTTGCCGATTCCACAAAAAGAGAGATTCAAAACTGCTCAATCACAAGATAGGTTCAACTTGGTAATTGGAAAGCACACATGACAAACAATTTCTGAGAATGTTTCTGTGTAGTTTTTAAGGGAAGATATTTGATTTTCAAATGTAGGCCTCAAATCGCTCCAAATATCCACTTGCATATTGTACAAAAAGAGAGATTCAAAACTGGTCACTCAAAAGTTAGGTCCAGCTCTGTGAGCTGAATGCACACATCACAAAGATGTTTCTCAGAAGGTTTCTGTATAGTTTCTATATGAAGATATTTGCTTTTCCACAATATGCCTCAAATCTCCCCAATTATCCACTTGCAGATTCTAGAAAAAGAGTGTTTCAAAACAGCTCAATCAAAATAAACTTTCAACTCTGTGAGATCAATGCACACATCACAAAGAAGTTTCTCAGAATGCTTCTGTGTAGTTTTTTTTGTGAAGATATTTGATTTTCCACAGCAGGCTTCCAAGCACTCCAAATATCCACTCGCAGATTCTGCAAAAAGAGAGATTCAAATCTGCTGAATCAAAAGATAGGTTTAACTCTGTGACTTCAATGCACACCTCACAAGGGTGTTTCTCAGAAAGCTTCTGTGTAGTTTTTATATGAGGATATCTCCTTCTCCAAAGCAGGTCTCAAAGCCCTCCAAATATTCACTTCAAGATTCTACGGAAAGATTGTCTCAACACTGCTAAATCTAAACAAATGTTCAACTCTGTGTGATGAATGCACTCATCACAGAGAAGTTTCTCTGAATGCCTCTGTGTAGTTTTTATTTGAAGATATTTGCTTTTCCAGTATAGGGCGAAATAGGGCTCCAAATATTCACTTGCAGATTCTACAAAAGGAGAGATTCCAAACTGCTCAATCAAAACATAGGTTCAACACTGTGAGTTGAATGCACACATCACAAAGAAGTTTCACAGAGTGCTTCTGGGTAGTTTTTATTTGAGGATATTTCCCTTTCCACAATAGGCCTCAAAGCTTTCCAAATATCCACTTGCAGATTCTGCAAAAAGAGAGATACAAAACTGCTCTATCAAAAGATAGATTCGACTCTGTGAGTTGAATGCCAACATCGCAAAGAAGTTTCTCAGAATGCTTCTCTGCAGCTTTTTTGTGAGTATGTTTCGTTTTCCACCATAGGGCGAAATGGGGCTCCAAATATCCACTTGCATTTCCTACAAAAAGAGAGATTCTAAGCTGCTCAATCAAAACATTGTTTCAACACGGTTAGTTGAATGCACACATCCCAAAGACGTTTTTCAGAGTGCTTCTGTGTGGTTTTTATGTGAAGATACTTCCTTTTCCACAATAGGCCTCAAATCTCTGTAAATATCCACTTGCAGACTCCACAAAGAGTGTTTCCAAACTGCTCAATCATAAGATAGGTTCAACTCCGATAGTTGAATGCACACATCACAAAGAAGTTTCTCAGAAAGCTTCTGTGTAGTTTTTGATGAAGATATCTTCTTCTCTAAAACAGAACTCCAAGCCCTCCAAATATTCACTTCAAGATTCTACGGAAAGATTGTCTCAAACTGCTAAATCAAAACAAAGGTTCAACTCTGTGTGATGAATGCATTCATCACAAAGAAGTTTCTCTGAGTGCTTCTGTGCAGTTTTTATTTGAAGATAATTGCTTTTCCAGTATAGGGCGAAATAGGGCTCCAAATATTCACTTGCAGATTCTACAGAAAGAGAGATTCCAAACTGCTCAATCAAAACATAGGTTCAACACTGTGAGTTGAATGCATACATCGCAAAGAAGTTTCACAGAGTACTTCTGGGTGGTTTTTATTTGAAGATATTTCCCTTTCCACAATAGGCCTCAAAGCTTTCCAAATGTCCACTTGCAGATTCCACCAAAAGAGTGTTTCGAAACTGCTCAATCAAAAGAAAGGTTCTACTCTGTGGGATGAATGCACACATCACAAAGTAGTTTCTCAGAATGCTTCTGTGTAGTTTTTATGTGAAGATATTTGTTTTTCCACAGTAGGCCCCAAAGAGCTCCAAATATTCACTTGCAGATTCTACAAAAAGAGTGTTCCAAAACTGCTCAATCATGAAATAGGATCAACCCTGTGAGATGAATGTACGTATGACAGAGAAGTTTCTCAGAATGCTTCTGTGTAGTTTTTATGCGAAGATATTCGATTTTCCACAGTACGCCTCAAAGTTCTCCAATTATCCACTCGTAGATTCTGCAAAAAGAGAGATTCAAAACTGCTCAATCAAAAGATAGTTTCTACTCCATTAGCTGAAAGACCACATCACAAAAAAAGTTTCTCAGGATGCTTCTGTGTAGTTTTTATGTGAAGATATTTGGTTTTCCACAGTAGGCCTCAAAGCGCTCCAAATATCCACTCACAGATTCTGCAAAAAGAGAGATTCAAAACTGCTGAATCAAAAGACAGTTTCAACTCTGTGACTTCAGTGCACACCTCACAAGGATGTTTCTCAGAATGCTTCTGTGTAGTTTTCATATAAAGATATCTCCTTCTCCAAAATGGATCTCAAAGTTCTCCAAATATTCACTTCCAGATTCTATGGAAAGATTGTCTCAAAACTGCTCAATCAAACCAAAGGTTCAACTCTGTGAGATGAATGCCCACATCACAAAGAAGTTTCTCAGAGTACTTCTGTGTAGTTTCTATTTGAGGATAGTTCCTTTTCCACCACAGACCAGAAAGGGCTCCAAATATCCATTGCAGATGGTACAAAATGTGAGATTCAAAACTGCTCAATCCAAAGGTAGTTTCAACCCTGTGATATGAATGCACACAGCACAGAGAATTTTCTCAAAATGCGTCTGTCTAGTTTTTATTTGAAGATATTTCCTTTTCTACCATAGGCCACAAACGTCTCCAAATATCCACATGCAGCTTCTACAAAAAGAGAGATTCAAAACTTCTCAATCAAAAGATAGGTTCAACTCTGTGAGTTGAAAGCACACCTCACAAAGAAGTTTCTCAGAGTGCTTCTGTGTGTTTTTATGTGAAGATATTTCCTTTTCCACAATAGGCCTCAAAGCTCTCCAAATATCTGCGAGCAGAGTCTACAAAATGAGAGATTCAAAACTGCTCAATGAAAAGATAGG
The DNA here is from genome assembly GCF_000001405.40 of Homo sapiens. Classification (NCBI taxonomy): domain Eukaryota; kingdom Metazoa; phylum Chordata; class Mammalia; order Primates; family Hominidae; genus Homo; species Homo sapiens. The sequence continues at coordinate 18,148,655 of NC_000015.10, read as the reverse complement.
TTCAACTCTGTGAGTTGAATGCACACCTCCAAAGAAGTTTCTCAGAATGCTTCCGTGTAGTTTTTATGTGAAGATATTTACTTTTCCACAGTTGTCCCAAAGCTCTAAAATATCCACTTGCAGACCCTCCAAAAGAGTGTTTCAGAATTGCTCAATCAAAGGGAAGGTTCAATTCTGTGTGACCAATGCACTCATCACAAAGAAGTTTGTCTGAATGCTTCTGTGTAGAATTCATTTGAAGATAATTCCTTTTCCACCACAGTCCGCAAAGGGCTAAAAATATCCACTTGCCGATTCCACAAAAAGAGAGATTCAAAACTGCTCAATCACAAGATAGGTTCAACTTGGTAATTGGAAAGCACACATGACAAACAATTTCTGAGAATGTTTCTGTGTAGTTTTTAAGGGAAGATATTTGATTTTCAAATGTAGGCCTCAAATCGCTCCAAATATCCACTTGCATATTGTACAAAAAGAGAGATTCAAAACTGGTCACTCAAAAGTTAGGTCCAGCTCTGTGAGCTGAATGCACACATCACAAAGATGTTTCTCAGAAGGTTTCTGTATAGTTTTTATATGAAGATATTTGCTTTTCCACAATATGCCTCAAATCTCCCCAATTATCCACTTGCAGATTCTAGAAAAAGAGTGTTTCAAAACAGCTCAATCAAAATAAACTTTCAACTCTGTGAGATCAATGCACACATCACAAAGAAGTTTCTCAGAATGCTTCTGTGTAGTTTTTTTTGTGAAGATATTTGATTTTCCACAGCAGGCTTCCAAGCACTCCAAATATCCACTCGCAGATTCTGCAAAAAGAGAGATTCAAATCTGCTGAATCAAAAGATAGGTTTAACTCTGTGACTTCAATGCACACCTCACAAGGGTGTTTCTCAGAAAGCTTCTGTGTAGTTTTTATATGAAGATATCTCCTTCTCCAAAGCAGGTCTCAAAGCCCTCCAAATATTCACTTCAAGATTCTACGGAAAGATTGTCTCAACACTGCTAAATCTAAACAAATGTTCAACTTCTGTGTGATGAATGCACTCATCACAGAGAAGTTTCTCTGAATGCCTCTGTGTAGTTTTTATTTGAAGATATTTGCTTTTCCAGTATAGGGCGAAATAGGGCTCCAAATATTCACTTGCAGATTCTACAAAAGGAGAGATTCCAAACTGCTCAATCAAAACATAGGTTCAACACTGTGAGTTGAATGCACACATCACAAAGAAGTTTCACAGAGTGCTTCTGGGTAGTTTTTATTTGAGGATATTTCCCTTTCCACAATAGGCCTCAAAGCTTTCCAAATATCCACTTGCAGATTCTGCAAAAAGAGAGATACAAAACTGCTCTATCAAAAGATAGATTCGACTCTGTGAGTTGAATGCCAACATCGCAAAGAAGTTTCTCAGAATGCTTCTCTGCAGCTTTTTTGTGAGTATGTTTCGTTTTCCACCATAGGGCGAAATGGGGCTCCAAATATCCACTTGCATTTCCTACAAAAAGAGAGATTCTAAGCTGCTCAATCAAAACATTGTTTCAACACGGTTAGTTGAATGCACACATCCCAAAGATGTTTTTCAGAGTGCTTCTGTGTGGTTTTTATGTGAAGATACTTCCTTTTCCACAATAGGCCTCAAATCTCTGTAAATATCCACTTGCAGACTCTACAAAGAGTGTTTCCAAACTGCTCAATCATAAGATAGGTTCAACTCCGATAGTTGAATGCACACATCACAAAGAAGTTTCTCAGAAAGCTTCTGTGTAGTTTTTGATGAAGATATCTCCTTCTCTAAAACAGAACTCCAAGCCCTCCAAATATTCACTTCAAGATTCTACGGAAAGATTGTCTCAAAACTCCTAAATCAAAACAAAGTTTCAACTCTGTGTCATGAATGCATTCATCTCAAAGAAGTTTCTCTGAATGCTTCTGTGCAGTTTTTATTTGAAGATAATTGCTTTTCCAGTATAGGGCGAAATAGGGCTCCAAATATTCACTTGCAGATTCTACAGAAAGAGAGATTCCAAACTGCTCAATCAAAACATAGTTTCAACACTGTGAGTTGAATGCATACATCGCAAAGAAGTTTCACAGAGTACTTCTGGGTGGTTTTTATTTGAAGATATTTCCCTTTCCACAATAGGCCTCAAAGCTTTCCAAATGTCCACTTGCAGATTCCACCAAAAGAGTGTTTCGAAACTGCTCAATCAAAAGAAAGGTTCTACTCTGTGGGATGAATGCACACATCACAAAGTAGTTTCTCAGAATGCTTCTGTGTAGTTTTTATGTGAAGATATTTGTTTTTCCACAGTAGGCCCCAAAGAGCTCCAAATATTCACTTGCAGATTCTACAAAAAGAGTGTTCCAAAACTGCTCAATCATGAAATAGGATCAACCCTGTGAGATGAATGTACGTATGACAGAGAAGTTTCTCAGAATGCTTCTGTGTAGTTTTTATGCGAAGATATTCGATTTTCCACAGTACGCCTCAAAGTTCTCCAATTATCCACTCGTAGATTCTGCAAAAAGAGAGATTCAAAACTGCTCAATCAAAAGATAGTTTCTACTCCATTAGCTGAAAGACCACATCACAAAAAAAGTTTCTCAGGATGCTTCTGTGTAGTTTTTATGTGAAGATATTTGGTTTTCCACAGTAGGCCTCAAAGCGCTCCAAATATCCACTCACAGATTCTGCAAAAAGAGAGATTCAAAACTGCTGAATCAAAAGACAGTTTCAACTCTGTGACTTCAGTGCACACCTCACAAGGATGTTTCTCAGAATGCTTCTGTGTAGTTTTCATATAAAGATATCTCCTTCTCCAAAATGCATCTCAAAGTTCTCCAAATATTCACTTCCAGATTCTATGGAAAGATTGTCTCAAAACTGCTCAATCAAACCAAAGGTTCAACTCTGTGAGATGAATGCCCACATCACAAAGAAGTTTCTCAGAGTACTTCTGTGTAGTTTCTATTTGAGGATAGTTCCTTTTCCACCACAGACCAGAAAGGGCTCCAAATATCCATTGCAGATGGTACAAAAAGTGAGATTCAAAACTGCTCAATCCAAAGGTAGTTTCAACCATGTGATATGAATGCACACAGCACAGAGAATTTTCTCAAAATGCGTCTGTCTAGTTTTTATTTGAAGATATTTCCTTTTCTACCATAGGCCACAAACGTCTCCAAATATCCACATGCAGCTTCTACAAAAAGAGAGATTCAAAACTTCTCAATCAAAAGATAGGTTCAACTCTGTGAGTTGAAAGCACACCTCACAAAGAAGTTTCTCAGAGTGCTTCTGTGTGTTTTTATGTGAAGATATTTCCTTTTCCACAATAGGCCTCAAAGCTCTCCAAATATCTGCGAGCAGAGTCTACAAAATGAGAGATTCAAAACTGCTCAATGAAAAGATAGGTTCAACTCTGTGAGTTGAATGCACACCTCCAAAGAAGTTTCTCAGAATGCTTCCGTGTAGTTTTTATGTGAAGATATTTACTTTTCCACAGTTGTCCCAAAGCTCTAAAATATCCACTTGCAGACCCTCCAAAAGAGTGTTTCAGAATTGCTCAATCAAAGGGAAGGTTCAATTCTGTGTGACCAATGCACTCATCACAAAGAAGTTTGTCTGAATGCTTCTGTGTAGAATTGATTTGAAGATAATTCCTTTTCCACCACAGTCCGCAAAGGGCTAAAAATATCCACTTGCCGATTCCACAAAAAGAGAGATTCAAAACTGCTCAATCACAAGATAGGTTCAACTTGGTAATTGGAAAGCACACATGACAAACAATTTCTGAGAATGTTTCTGTGTAGATTTTAAGGGAAGATATTTGATTTTCAAATGTAGGCCTCAAATCGCTCCAAATATCCACTTGCATATTGTACAAAAAGAGAGATTCAAAACTGGTCACTCAAAAGTTAGGTCCAGCTCTGTGAGCTGAATGCACACATCACAAAGATGTTTCTCAGAAGGTTTCTGTATAGTTTTTATATGAAGATATTGGCTTTTCCACAATATGCCTCAAATCTCCCCAATTATCCACTTGCAGATTCTAGAAAAAGAGTGTTTCAAAACAGCTCAATCAAAATAAACTTTCAACTCTGTGAGATCAATGCACACATCACAAAGAAGTTTCTCAGAATGCTTCTGTGTAGTTTTTTTTGTGAAGATATTTGATTTTCCACAGCAGGCTTCCAAGCACTCCAAATATCCACTCGCAGATTCTGCAAAAAGAGAGATTCAAATCTGCTGAATCAAAAGATAGGTTTAACTCTGTGACTTCAATGCACACCTCACAAGGGTGTTTCTCAGAAAGCTTCTGTGTAGTTTTTATATGAAGATATCTCCTTCTCCAAAGCAGGTCTCAAAGCCCTCCAAATATTCACTTCAAGATTCTACGGAAAGATTGTCTCAACACTGCTAAATCTAAACAAATGTTCAACTCTGTGTGATGAATGCACTCATCACAGAGAAGTTTCTCTGAATGCCTCTGTGTAGTTTTTATTTGAAGATATTTGCTTTTCCAGTATAGGGCGAAATAGGGCTCCAAATATTCACTTGCAGATTCTACAAAAGGAGAGATTCCAAACTGCTCAATCAAAACATAGGTTCAACACTGTGAGTTGAATGCACACATCACAAAGAAGTTTCACAGAGTGCTTCTGGGTAGTTTTTATTTGAGGATATTTCCCTTTCCACAATAGGCCTCAAAGCTTTCCAAATATCCACTTGCAGATTCTGCAAAAAGAGAGATACAAAACTGCTCTATCAAAAGATAGATTCGACTCTGTGAGTTGAATGCCAACATCGCAAAGAAGTTTCTCAGAATGCTTCTCTGCAGCTTTTTTGTGAGTATGTTTCGTTTTCCACCATAGGGCGAAATGGGGCTCCAAATATCCACTTGCATTTCCTACAAAAAGAGAGATTCTAAGCTGCTCAATCAAAACATTGTTTCAACACGGTTAGTTGAATGCACACATCCCAAAGATGTTTTTCAGAGTGCTTCTGTGTGGTTTTTATGTGAAGATACTTCCTTTTCCACAATAGGCCTCAAATCTCTGTAAATATCCACTTGCAGACTCTACAAAGAGTGTTTCCAAACTGCTCAATCATAAGATAGGTTCAACTCCGATAGCTGAATGCACACATCACAAAGAAGTTTCTCAGAAAGCTTTTCTGTGTAGTTTTTGATGAAGATATCTCCTTCTCTAAAACAGAACTCCAAGCCCTCCAAATATTCACTTCAAGATTCTACGGAAAGATTGTCTCAAAACTCCTAAATCAAAACAAAGTTTCAACTCTGTGTCATGAATGCATTCATCTCAAAGAAGTTTCTCTGAATGCTTCTGTGCAGTTTTTATTTGAAGATAATTGCTTTTCCAGTATAGGGCGAAATAGGGCTCCAAATATTCACTTGCAGATTCTACAGAAAGAGAGATTCCAAACTGCTCAATCAAAACATAGGTTCAACACTGTGAGTTGAATGCATACATCGCAAAGAAGTTTCACAGAGTACTTCTGGGTGGTTTTTATTTGAAGATATTTCCCTTTCCACAATAGGCCTCAAAGCTTTCCAAATGTCCACTTGCAGATTCCACCAAAAGAGTGTTTCGAAACTGCTCAATCAAAAGAAAGGTTCTACTCTGTGGGATGAATGCACACATCACAAAGTAGTTTCTCAGAATGCTTCCTGTGTAGTTTTTATGTGAAGATATTTGTTTTTCCACAGTAGGCCCCAAAGAGCTCCAAATATTCACTTGCAGATTCTACAAAAAGAGTGTTCCAAAACTGCTCAATCATGAAATAGGATCAACCCTGTGAGATGAATGTACGTATGACAGAGAAGTTTCTCAGAATGCTTCTGTGTAGTTTTTATGCGAAGATATTCGATTTTCCACAGTACGCCTCAAAGTTCTCCAATTATCCACTCGTAGATTCTGCAAAAAGAGAGATTCAAAACTGCTCAATCAAAAGATAGTTTCTACTCCATTAGCTGAAAGACCACATCACAAAAAAAGTTTCTCAGGATGCTTCTGTGTAGTTTTTATGTGAAGATATTTGGTTTTCCACAGTAGGCCTCAAAGCGCTCCAAATATCCACTCACAGATTCTGCAAAAAGAGAGATTCAAAACTGCTGAATCAAAAGACAGTTTCAACTCTGTGACTTCAGTGCACACCTCACAAGGATGTTTCTCAGAATGCTTCTGTGTAGTTTTCATATAAAGATATCTCCTTCTCCAAAATGGATCTCAAAGTTCTCCAAATATTCACTTCCAGATTCTATGGAAAGATTGTCTCAAAACTGCTCAATCAAACCAAAGGTTCAACTCTGTGAGATGAATGCCCACATCACAAAGAAGTTTCTCAGAGTACTTCTGTGTAGTTTCTATTTGAGGATAGTTCCTTTTCCACCACAGACCAGAAAGGGCTCCAAATATCCATTGCAGATGGTACAAAATGTGAGATTCAAAACTGCTCAATCCAAAGGTAGTTTCAACCATGTGATATGAATGCACACAGCACAGAGAATTTTCTCAAAATGCGTCTGTCTAGTTTTTATTTGAAGATATTTCCTTTTCTACCATAGGCCACAAACGTCTCCAAATATCCACATGCAGCTTCTACAAAAAGAGAGATTCAAAACTTCTCAATCAAAAGATAGGTTCAACTCTGTGAGTTGAAAGCACACCTCACAAAGAAGTTTCTCAGAGTGCTTCTGTGTGTTTTTATGTGAAGATATTTCCTTTTCCACAATAGGCCTCAAAGCTCTCCAAATATCTGCGAGCAGAGTCTACAAAATGAGAGATTCAAAACTGCTCAATGAAAAGATAGGTTCAACTCTGTGAGTTGAATGCACACCTCCAAAGAAGTTTCTCAGAATGCTTCCGTGTAGTTTTTATGTGAAGATATTTACTTTTCCACAGTTGTCCCAAAGCTCTAAAATATCCACTTGCAGACCCTCCAAAAGAGTGTTTCAGAATTGCTCAATCAAAGGGAAGGTTCAATTCTGTGTGACCAATGCACTCATCACAAAGAAGTTTGTCTGAATGCTTCTGTGTAGAATTGATTTGAAGATAATTCCTTTTCCACCACAGTCCGCAAAGGGCTAAAAATATCCACTTGCCGATTCCACAAAAAGAGAGATTCAAAACTGCTCAATCACAAGATAGGTTCAACTTGGTAATTGGAAAGCACACATGACAAACAATTTCTGAGAATGTTTCTGTGTAGTTTTTAAGGGAAGATATTTGATTTTCAAATGTAGGCCTCAAATCGCTCCAAATATCCACTTGCATATTGTACAAAAAGAGAGATTCAAAACTGGTCACTCAAAAGTTAGGTCCAGCTCTGTGAGCTGAATGCACACATCACAAAGATGTTTCTCAGAAGGTTTTCTGTATAGTTTCTATATGAAGATATTTGCTTTTCCACAATATGCCTCAAATCTCCCCAATTATCCACTTGCAGATTCTAGAAAAAGAGTGTTTCAAAACAGCTCAATCCAAATAAACTTTCAACTCTGTGAGATCAATGCACACATCACAAAGAAGTTTCTCAGAATGCTTCTGTGTAGTTTTTTTTGTGAAGATATTTGATTTTCCACAGCAGGCTTCCAAGCACTCCAAATATCCACTCGCAGATTCTGCAAAAAGAGAGATTCAAATCTGCTGAATCAAAAGATAGGTTTAACTCTGTGACTTCAATGCACACCTCACAAGAGTGTTTCTCAGAAAGCTTCTGTGTAGTTTTTATATGAAGATATCTCCTTCTCCAAAGCAGGTCTCAAAGCCCTCCAAATATTCACTTCAAGATTCTACGGAAAGATTGTCTCAACACTGCTAAATCTAAACAAATGTTCAACTCTGTGTGATGAATGCACTCATCACAGAGAAGTTTCTCTGAATGCCTCTGTGTAGTTTTTATTTGAAGATATTTGCTTTTCCAGTATAGGGCGAAATAGGGCTCCAAATATTCACTTGCAGATTCTACAAAAGGAGAGATTCCAAACTGCTCAATCAAAACATAGGTTCAACACTGTGAGTTGAATGCACACATCACAAAGAAGTTTCACAGAGTGCTTCTGGGTAGTTTCTATTTGAGGATATTTCCCTTTCCACAATAGGCCTCAAAGCTTTCCAAATATCCACTTGCAGATTCTGCAAAAAGAGAGATACAAAACTGCTCTATCAAAAGATAGATTCGACTCTGTGAGTTGAATGCCAACATCGCAAAGAAGTTTCTCAGAATGCTTCTCTGCAGCTTTTTTGTGAGTATGTTTCGTTTTCCACCATAGGGCGAAATGGGGCTCCAAATATCCACTTGCATTTCCTACAAAAAGAGAGATTCTAAGCTGCTCAATCAAAACATTGTTTCAACACGGTTAGTTGAATGCACACATCCCAAAGATGTTTTTCAGAGTGCTTCTGTGTGGTTTTTATGTGAAGATACTTCCTTTTCCACAATAGGCCTCAAATCTCTGTAAATATCCACTTGCAGACTCTACAAAGAGTGTTTCCAAACTGCTCAATCATAAGATAGGTTCAACTCCGATAGTTGAATGCACACATCACAAAGAAGTTTCTCAGAAAGCTTCTGTGTAGTTTTTGATGAAGATATCTCCTTCTCTAAAACAGAACTCCAAGCCCTCCAAATATTCACTTCAAGATTCTACGGAAAGATTGTCTCAAAACTCCTAAATCAAAACAAAGTTTCAACTCTGTGTCATGAATGCATTCATCTCAAAGAAGTTTCTCTGAATGCTTCTGTGCAGTTTTTATTTGAAGATAATTGCTTTTCCAGTATAGGGCGAAATAGGGCTCCAAATATTCACTTGCAGATTCTACAGAAAGAGAGATTCCAAACTGCTCAATCAAAACATAGGTTCAACACTGTGAGTTGAATGCATACATCGCAAAGAAGTTTCACAGAGTACTTCTGGGTGGTTTTTATTTGAAGATATTTCCCTTTCCACAATAGGCCTCAAAGCTTTCCAAATGTCCACTTGCAGATTCCACCAAAAGAGTGTTTCGAACCTGCTCAATCAAAAGAAAGGTTCTACTCTGTGGGATGAATGCACACATCACAAAGTAGTTTCTCAGAATGCTTCTGTGTAGTTTTTATGTGAAGATATTTGTTTTTCCACAGTAGGCCCCAAAGAGCTCCAAATATTCACTTGCAGATTCTACAAAAAGAGTGTTCCAAAACTGCTCAATCATGAAATAGGATCAACCCTGTGAGATGAATGTACGTATGACAGAGAAGTTTCTCAGAATGCTTCTGTGTAGTTTTTATGCGAAGATATTCGATTTTCCACAGTACGCCTCAAAGTTCTCCAATTATCCACTCGTAGATCCTTCAAAAAGAGAGATTCAAAACTGCTCAATCAAAAGATAGTTTCTACTCCATTAGCTGAAAGACCACATCACAAAAAAAGTTTCTCAGGATGCTTCTGTGTAGTTTTTATGTGAAGATATTTGGTTTTCCACAGTAGGCCTCAAAGCGCTCCAAATATCCACTCACAGATTCTGCAAAAAGAGAGATTCAAAACTGCTGAATCAAAAGACAGTTTCAACTCTGTGACTTCAGTGCACACCTCACAAGGATGTTTCTCAGAATGCTTCTGTGTAGTTTTTATATAAAGATATCTCCTTCTCCAAAATGGATCTCAAAGTTCTCCAAATATTCACTTCCAGATTCTATGGAAAGATTGTCTCAAAACTGCTCAATCAAACCAAAGGTTCAACTCTGTGAGATGAATGCCCACATCACAAAGAAGTTTCTCAGAGTACTTTCTGTGTAGTTTCTATTTGAGGATAGTTCCTTTTCCACCACAGACCAGAAAGGGCTCCAAATATCCATTGCAGATGGTACAAAAAGTGAGATTCAAAACTGCTCAATCCAAAGGTAGTTTCAACCATGTGATATGAATGCACACAGCACAGAGAATTTTCTCAAAATGCGTCTGTCTAGTTTTTATTTGAAGATATTTCCTTTTCTACCATAGGCCACAAACGTCTCCAAATATCCACATGCAGCTTCTACAAAAAGAGAGATTCAAAACTTCTCAATCAAAAGATAGGTTCAACTCTGTGAGTTGAAAGCACACCTCACAAAGAAGTTTCTCAGAGTGCTTCTGTGTGTTTTTATGTGAAGATATTTCCTTTTCCACAATAGGCCTCAAAGCTCTCCAAATATCTGCGAGCAGAGTCTACAAAATGAGAGATTCAAAACTGCTCAATGAAAAGATAGGTTCAACTCTGTGAGTTGAATGCACACCTCCAAAGAAGTTTCTCAGAATGCTTCCGTGTAGTTTTTATGTGAAGATATTTACTTTTCCACAGTTGTCCCAAAGCTCTAAAATGTCCACTTGCAGACCCTCCAAAAGAGTGTTTCAGAATTGCTCAATCAAAGGGAAGGTTCAATTCTGTGTGACCAATGCACTCATCACAAAGAAGTTTGTCTGAATGCTTCTGTGTAGAATTGATTTGAAGATAATTCCTTTTCCACCACAGTCCGCAAAGGGCTAAAAATATCCACTTGCCGATTCCACAAAAAGAGAGATTCAAAACTGCTCAATCACAAGATAGGTTCAACTTGGTAATTGGAAAGCACACATGACAAACAATTTCTGAGAATGTTTCTGTGTAGTTTTTAAGGGAAGATATTTGATTTTCAAATGTAGGCCTCAAATCGCTCCAAATATCCACTTGCATATTGTACAAAAAGAGAGATTCAAAACTGGTCACTCAAAAGTTAGGTCCAGCTCTGTGAGCTGAATGCACACATCACAAAGATGTTTCTCAGAAGGTTTCTGTATAGTTTCTATATGAAGATATTTGCTTTTCCACAATATGCCTCAAATCTCCCCAATTATCCACTTGCAGATTCTAGAAAAAGAGTGTTTCAAAACAGCTCAATCAAAATAAACTTTCAACTCTGTGAGATCAATGCACACATCACAAAGAAGTTTCTCAGAATGCTTCTGTGTAGTTTTTTTGTGAAGATATTTGATTTTCCACAGCAGGCTTCCAAGCACTCCAAATATCCACTCGCAGATTCTGCAAAAAGAGAGATTCAAATCTGCTGAATCAAAAGATAGGTTTAACTCTGTGACTTCAATGCACACCTCACAAGGGTGTTTCTCAGAAAGCTTCTGTGTAGTTTTTATATGAAGATATCTCCTTCTCCAAAGCAGGTCTCAAAGCCCTCCAAATATTCACTTCAAGATTCTACGGAAAGATTGTCTCAACACTGCTAAATCTAAACAAATGTTCAACTCTGTGTGATGAATGCACTCATCACAGAGAAGTTTCTCTGAATGCCTCTGTGTAGTTTTTATTTGAAGATATTTGCTTTTCCAGTATAGGGCGAAATAGGGCTCCAAATATTCACTTGCAGATTCTACAAAAGGAGAGATTCCAAACTGCTCAATCAAAACATAGGTTCAACACTGTGAGTTGAATGCACACATCACAAAGAAGTTTCACAGAGTGCTTCTGGGTAGTTTTTATTTGAGGATATTTCCCTTTCCACAATAGGCCTCAAAGCTTTCCAAATATCCACTTGCAGATTCTGCAAAAAGAGAGATACAAAACTGCTCTATCAAAAGATAGATTCGACTCTGTGAGTTGAATGCCAACATCGCAAAGAAGTTTCTCAGAATGCTTCTCTGCAGCTTTTTTGTGAGTATGTTTCGTTTTCCACCATAGGGCGAAATGGGGCTCCAAATATCCACTTGCATTTCCTACAAAAAGAGAGATTCTAAGCTGCTCAATCAAAACATTGTTTCAACACGGTTAGTTGAATGCACACATCCCAAAGATGTTTTTCAGAGTGCTTCTGTGTGGTTTTTATGTGAAGATACTTCCTTTTCCACAATAGGCCTCAAATCTCTGTAAATATCCACTTGCAGACTCTACAAAGAGTGTTTCCAAACTCCTCAATCATAAGATAGGTTCAACTCCGATAGTTGAATGCACACATCACAAAGAAGTTTCTCGGAAAGCTACTGTGTAGTTTTTGATGAAGATATCTTCTTCTCTAAAACAGAACTCCAAGCCCTCCAAATATTCACTTCAAGATTCTACGGAAAGATTGTCTCAAACTGCTAAATCAAAACAAAGGTTCAACTCTGTGTGATGAATGCATTCATCACAAAGAAGTTTCTCTGAGTGCTTCTGTGCAGTTTTTATTTGAAGATAATTGCTTTTCCAGTATAGGGCGAAATAGGGCTCCAAATATTCACTTGCAGATTCTACAGAAAGAGAGATTCCAAACTGCTCAATCAAAACATAGGTTCAACACTGTGAGTTGAATGCATACATCGCAAAGAAGTTTCACAGAGTACTTCTGGGTGGTTTTTATTTGAAGATATTTCCCTTTCCACAATAGGCCTCAAAGCTTTCCAAATGTCCACTTGCAGATTCCACCAAAAGCGTGTTTTGAAACTGCTCAATCAAAAGAAAGGTTCTACTCTGTGGGATGAATGCACACATCACAAAGTAGTTTCTCAGAATGCTTCTGTGTAGTTTTTATGTGAAGATATTTGTTTTTCCACAGTAGGCCCCAAAGAGCTCCAAATATTCACTTGCAGATTCTACAAAAAGAGTGTTCCAAAACTGCTCAATCATGAAATAGGATCAACCCTGTGAGATGAATGTACGTATGACAGAGAAGTTTCTCAGAATGCTTCTGTGTAGTTTTTATGCGAAGATATTCGATTTTCCACAGTACGCCTCAAAGTTCTCCAATTATCCACTCGTAGATTCTGCAAAAAGAGAGATTCAAAACTGCTCAATCAAAAGATAGTTTCTACTCCATTAGCTGAAAGACCACATCACAAAAAAAGTTTCTCAGGATGCTTCTGTGTAGTTTTTATGTGAAGATATTTGGTTTTCCACAGTAGGCCTCAAAGCGCTCCAAATATCCACTCACAGGTTCTGCAAAAAGAGAGATTCAAAACTGCTGAATCAAAAGACAGTTTCAACTCTGTGACTTCAGTGCACACCTCACAAGGATGTTTCTCAGAATGCTTCTGTGTAGTTTTCATATAAAGATATCTCCTTCTCCAAAATGGATCTCAAAGTTCTCCAAATATTCACTTCCAGATTCCATGGAAAGATTGTCTCAAAACTGCTCAATCAAACCAAAGGTTCAACTCTGTGAGATGAATGCCCACATCACAAAGAAGTTTCTCAGAGTACTTCTGTGTAGTTTCTATTTGAGGATAGTTCCTTTTCCACCACAGACCAGAAAGGGCTCCAAATATCCATTGCAGATGGTACAAAAAGTGAGATTCAAAACTGCTCAATCCAAAGGTAGTTTCAACCATGTGATATGAATGCACACAGCACAGAGAATTTTCTCAAAATGCGTCTGTCTAGTTTTTATTTGAAGATATTTCCTTTTCTACCATAGGCCACAAACGTCTCCAAATATCCACATGCAGCTTCTACAAAAAGAGAGATTCAAAACTTCTCAATCAAAAGATAGGTTCAACTCTGTGAGTTGAAAGCACACCTCACAAAGAAGTTTCTCAGAGTGCTTCTGTGTGTTTTTATGTGAAGATATTTCCTTTTCCACAATAGGCCTCAAAGCTCTCCAAATATCTGCGAGCAGAGTCTACAAAATGAGAGATTCAAAACTGCTCAATGAAAAGATAGGTTCAACTCTGTGAGTTGAATGCACACCTCCAAAGAAGTTTCTCAGAATGCTTCCGTGTAGTTTTTATGTGAAGATATTTACTTTTCCACAGTTGTCCCAAAGCTCTAAAATGCCCACTTGCAGACCCTCCAAAAGAGTGTTTCAGAATTGCTCAATCAAAGGGAAGGTTCAATTCTGTGTGACCAATGCACTCATCACAAAGAAGTTTGTCTGAATGTTTCTGTGTAGAATTGATTTGAAGATAATTCCTTTTCCACCACAGTCCGCAAAGGGCTAAAAATATCCACTTGCCGATTCCACAAAAAGAGAGATGCAAAACTGCTCAATCACAAGATAGGTTCAACTTGGTAATTGGAAAGCACACATGACAAACAATTTCTGAGAATGTTTCTGTGTAGTTTTTAAGGGAAGATATTTGATTTTCAAATGTAGGCCTCAAATCGCTCCAAATATCCACTTGCATATTGTACAAAAAGAGAGATTCAAAACTGGTCACTCAAAAGTTAGGTCCAGCTCTGTGAGCTGAATGCACACATCACAAAGATGTTTCTCAGAAGGTTTCTGTATAGTTTCTATATGAAGATATTTGCTTTTCCACAATATGCCTCAAATCTCCCCAATTATCCACTTGCAGATTCTAGAAAAAGAGTGTTTCAAAACAGCTCAATCAAAATAAACTTTCAACTCTGTGAGATCAATGCACACATCACAAAGAAGTTTCTCAGAATGCTTCTGTGTAGTTTTTTTTGTGAAGATATTTGATTTTCCACAGCAGGCTTCCAAGCACTCCAAATATCCACTCGCAGATTCTGCAAAAAGAGAGATTCAAATCTGCTGAATCAAAAGATAGGTTTAACTCTGTGACTTCAATGCACACCTCACAAGGGTGTTTCTCAGAAAGCTTCTGTGTAGTTTTTATATGAAGATATCTCCTTCTCCAAAGCAGGTCTCAAAGCCCTCCAAATATTCACTTCAAGATTCTACGGAAAGATTGTCTCAACACTGCTAAATCTAAACAAATGTTCAACTCTGTGTGATGAATGCACTCATCACAGAGAAGTTTCTCTGAATGCCTCTGTGTAGTTTTTATTTGAAGATATTTGCTTTTCCAGTATAGGGCGAAATAGGGCTCCAAATATTCACTTGCAGATTCTACAAAAGGAGAGATTCCAAACTGCTCAATCAAAACATAGGTTCAACACTGTGAGTTGAATGCACACAACACAAAGAAGTTTCACAGAGTGCTTCTGGGTAGTTTTTATTTGAGGATATTTCCCTTTCCACAATAGGCCTCAAAGCTTTCCAAATATCCACTTGCAGATTCTGCAAAAACAGAGATACAAAACTGCTCTATCAAAAGATAGATTCGACTCTGTGAGTTGAATGCCAACATCGCAAAGAAGTTTCTCAGAATGCTTCTCTGCAGCTTTTTTGTGAGTATGTTTCGTTTTCCACCATAGGGCGAAATGGGGCTCCAAATATCCACTTGCATTTCCTACAAAAAGAGAGATTCTAAGCTGCTCAATCAAAACATTGTTTCAACACGGTTAGTTGAATGCACACATCCCAAAGATGTTTTTCAGAGTGCTTCTGTGTGGTTTTTATGTGAAGATACTTCCTTTTCCACAATAGGCCTCAAATCTCTGTAAATATCCACTTGCAGACTCTACAAAGAGTGTTTCCAAACTCCTCAATCATAAGATAGGTTCAACTCCGATAGTTGAATGCACACATCACAAAGAAGTTTCTCGGAAAGCTTCTGTGTAGTTTTTGATGAAGATATCTTCTTCTCTAAAACAGAACTCCAAGCCCTCCAAATATTCACTTCAAGATTCTACGGAAAGATTGTCTCAAACTGCTAAATCAAAACAAAGGTTCAACTCTGTGTGATGAATGCATTCATCACAAAGAAGTTTCTCTGAGTGCTTCTGTGCAGTTTTTATTTGAAGATAATTGCTTTTCCAGTATAGGGCGAAATAGGGCTCCAAATATTCACTTGCAGATTCTACAGAAAGAGAGATTCCAAACTGCTCAATCAAAACATAGGTTCAACACTGTGAGTTGAATGCATACATCGCAAAGAAGTTTCACAGAGTACTTCTGGGTGGTTTTTATTTGAAGATATTTCCCTTTCCACAATAGGCCTCAAAGCTTTCCAAATGTCCACTTGCAGATTCCACCAAAAGAGTGTTTCGAAACTGCTCAATCAAAAGAAAGGTTCTACTCTGTGGGATGAATGCACACATCACAAAGTAGTTTCTCAGAATGCTTCTGTGTAGTTTTTATGTGAAGATATTTGTTTTTCCACAGTAGGCCCCAAAGAGCTCCAAATATTCACTTGCAGATTCTACAAAAAGAGTGTTCCAAAACTGCTCAATCATGAAATAGGATCAACCCTGTGAGATGAATGTACGTATGACAGAGAAGTTTCTCAGAATGCTTCTGTGTAGTTTTTATGCGAAGATATTCGATTTTCCACAGTACGCCTCAAAGTTCTCCAATTATCCACTCGTAGATTCTGCAAAAAGAGAGATTCAAAACTGCTCAATCAAAAGATAGTTTCTACTCCATTAGCTGAAAGACCACATCACAAAAAAAGTTTCTCAGGATGCTTCTGTGTAGTTTTTATGTGAACATATTTGGTTTTCCACAGTAGGCCTCAAAGCGCTCCAAATATCCGCTCACAGACTCTGCAAAAAGAGAGATTCAAAACTGCTGAATCAAAAGACAGTTTCAACTCTGTGACTTCAGTGCACACCTCACAAGGATGTTTCTCAGAATGCTTCTGTGTAGTTTTCATATAAAGATATCTCCTTCTCCAAAATGGATCTCAAAGTTCTCCAAATATTCACTTCCAGATTCTATGGAAAGATTGTCTCAAAACTGCTCAATCAAACCAAAGGTTCAACTCTGTGAGATGAATGCCCACATCACAAAGAAGTTTCTCAGAGTACTTCTGTGTAGTTTCTATTTGAGGATAGTTCCTTTTCCACCACAGACCAGAAAGGGCTCCAAATATCCATTGCAGATGGTACAAAAAGTGAGATTCAAAACTGCTCAATCCAAAGGTAGTTTCAACCATGTGATATGAATGCACACAGCACAGAGAATTTTCTCAAAATGCGTCTGTCTAGTTTTTATTTGAAGATATTTCCTTTTCTACCATAGGCCACAAACGTCTCCAAATATCCACATGCAGCTTCTACAAAAAGAGAGATTCAAAACTTCTCAATCAAAAGATAGGTTCAACTCTGTGAGTTGAAAGCACACCTCACAAAGAAGTTTCTCAGAGTGCTTCTGTGTGTTTTTATGTGAAGATATTTCCTTTTCCACAATAGGCCTCAAAGCTCTCCAAATATCTGCGAGCAGAGTCTACAAAATGAGAGATTCAAAACTGCTCAATGAAAAGATAGGTTCAACTCTGTGAGTTGAATGCACACCTCCAAAGAAGTTTCTCAGAATGCTTCCGTGTAGTTTTTATGTGAAGATATTTACTTTTCCACAGTTGTCCCAAAGCTCTAAAATATCCACTTGCAGACCCTCCAAAAGAGTGTTTCAGAATTGCTCAATCAAAGGGAAGGTTCAATTCTGTGTGACCAATGCACTCATCACAAAGAAGTTTGTCTGAATGCTTCTGTGTAGAATTGATTTGAAGATAATTCCTTTTCCACCACAGTCCGCAAAGGGCTAAAAATATCCACTTGCCGATTCCACAAAAAGAGAGATTCAAAACTGCTCAATCACAAGATAGGTTCAACTTGGTAATTGGAAAGCACACATGACAAACAATTTCTGAGAATGTTTCTGTGTAGATTTTAAGGGAAGATATTTGATTTACAAATGTAGGCCTCAAATCGCTCCAAATATCCACTTGCATATTGTACAAAAAGAGAGATTCAAAACTGGTCACTCAAAAGTTAGGTCCAGCTCTGTGAGCTGAATGCACACATCACAAAGATGTTTCTCAGAAGGTTTCTGTATAGTTTTTATATGAAGATATTGGCTTTTCCACAATATGCCTCAAATCTCCCCAATTATCCACTTGCAGATTCTAGAAAAAGAGTGTTTCAAAACAGCTCAATCAAAATAAACTTTCAACTCTGTGAGATCAATGCACACATCACAAAGAAGTTTCTCAGAATGCTTCTGTGTAGTTTTTTTTGTGAAGATATTTGATTTTCCACAGCAGGCTTCCAAGCACTCCAAATATCCACTCGCAGATTCTGCAAAAAGAGAGATTCAAATCTGCTGAATCAAAAGATAGGTTTAACTCTGTGACTTCAATGCACACCTCACAAGGGTGTTTCTCAGAAAGCTTCTGTGTAGTTTTTATATGAAGATATCTCCTTCTCCAAAGCAGGTCTCAAAGCCCTCCAAATATTCACTTCAAGATTCTACGGAAAGATTGTCTCAACACTGCTAAATCTAAACAAATGTTCAACTCTGTGTGATGAATGCACTCATCACAGAGAAGTTTCTCTGAATGCCTCTGTGTAGTTTTTATTTGAAGATATTTGCTTTTCCAGTATAGGGCGAAATAGGGCTCCAAATATTCACTTGCAGATTCTACAAAAGGAGAGATTCCAAACTGCTCAATCAAAACATAGGTTCAACACTGTGAGTTGAATGCACACATCACAAAGAAGTTTCACAGAGTGCTTCTGGGTAGTTTTTATTTGAGGATATTTCCCTTTCCACAATAGGCCTCAAAGCTTTCCAAATATCCACTTGCAGATTCTGCAAAAAGAGAGATACAAAACTGCTCTATCAAAAGATAGATTCGACTACTGTGAGTTGAATGCCAACATCGCAAAGAAGTTTCTCAGAATGCTTCTCTGCAGCTTTTTTGTGAGTATGTTTCGTTTTCCACCATAGGGCGAAATGGGGCTCCAAATATCCACTTGCATTTCCTACAAAAAGAGAGATTCTAAGCTGCTCAATCAAAACATTGTTTCAACACGGTTAGTTGAATGCACACATCCCAAAGATGTTTTTCAGAGTGCTTCTGTGTGGTTTTTATGTGAAGATACTTCCTTTTCCACAATAGGCCTCAAATCTCTGTAAATATCCACTTGCAGACTCTACAAAGAGTGTTTCCAAACTGCTCAATCATAAGATAGGTTCAACTCCGATAGTTGAATGCACACATCACAAAGAAGTTTCTCAGAAAGCTTCTGTGTAGTTTTTGATGAAGATATCTCCTTCTCTAAAACAGAACTCCAAGCCCTCCAAATATTCACTTCAAGATTCTACGGAAAGATTGTCTCAAAACTCCTAAATCAAAACAAAGTTTCAACTCTGTGTCATGAATGCATTCATCTCAAAGAAGTTTCTCTGAATGCTTCTGTGCAGTTTTTATTTGAAGATAATTGCTTTTCCAGTATAGGGCGAAATAGGGCTCCAAATATTCACTTGCAGATTCTACAGAAAGAGAGATTCCAAACTGCTCAATCAAAACATAGGTTCAACACTGTGAGTTGAATGCATACATCGCAAAGAAGTTTCACAGAGTACTTCTGGGTGGTTTTTATTTGAAGATATTTCCCTTTCCACAATAGGCCTCAAAGCTTTCCAAATGTCCACTTGCAGATTCCACCAAAAGAGTGTTTCGAAACTGCTCAATCAAAAGAAAGGTTCTACTCTGTGGGATGAATGCACACATCACAAAGTAGTTTCTCAGAATGCTTCCTGTGTAGTTTTTATGTGAAGATATTTGTTTTTCCACAGTAGGCCCCAAAGAGCTCCAAATATTCACTTGCAGATTCTACAAAAAGAGTGTTCCAAAACTGCTCAATCATGAAATAGGATCAACCCTGTGAGATGAATGTACGTATGACAGAGAAGTTTCTCAGAATGCTTCTGTGTAGTTTTTATGCGAAGATATTCGATTTTCCACAGTACGCCTCAAAGTTCTCCAATTATCCACTCGTAGATCCTGCAAAAAGAGAGACTCAAAACTGCTCAATCAAAAGATAGTTTCTACTCCATTAGCTGAAAGACCACATCACAAAAAAAGTTTCTCAGGATGCTTCTGTGTAGTTTTTATGTGAAGATATTTGGTTTTCCACAGTAGGCCTCAAAGCGCTCCAAATATCCACTCACAGATTCTGCAAAAAGAGAGATTCAAAACTGCTGAATCAAAAGACAGTTTCAACTCTGTGACTTCAGTGCACACCTCACAAGGATGTTTCTCAGAATGCTTCTGTGTAGTTTTCATATAAAGATATCTCCTTCTCCAAAATGGATCTCAAAGTTCTCCAAATATTCACTTCCAGATTCTATGGAAAGATTGTCTCAAAACTGCTCAATCAAACCAAAGGTTCAACTCTGTGAGATGAATGCCCACATCACAAAGAAGTTTCTCAGAGTACTTCTGTGTAGTTTCTATTTGAGGATAGTTCCTTTTCCACCACAGACCAGAAAGGGCTCCAAATATCCATTGCAGATGGTACAAAAAGTGAGATTCAAAACTGCTCAATCCAAAGGTAGTTTCAACCATGTGATATGAATGCACACAGCACAGAGAATTTTCTCAAAATGCGTCTGTCTAGTTTTTATTTGAAGATATTTCCTTTTCTACCATAGGCCACAAACGTCTCCAAATATCCACATGCAGCTTCTACAAAAAGAGAGATTCAAAACTTCTCAATCAAAAGATAGGTTCAACTCTGTGAGTTGAAAGCACACCTCACAAAGAAGTTTCTCAGAGTGCTTCTGTGTGTTTTTATGTGAAGATATTTCCTTTTCCACAATAGGCCTCAAAGCTCTCCAAATATCTGCGAGCAGAGTCTACAAAATGAGAGATTCAAAACTGCTCAATGAAAAGATAGGTTCAACTCTGTGAGTTGAATGCACACCTCCAAAGAAGTTTCTCAGAATGCTTCCGTGTAGTTTTTATGTGAAGATATTTACTTTTCCACAGTTGTCCCAAAGCTCTAAAATGTCCACTTGCAGACCCTCCAAAAGAGTGTTTCAGAATTGCTCAATCAAAGGGAAGGTTCAATTCTGTGTGACCAATGCACTCATCACAAAGAAGTTTGTCTGAATGCTTCTGTGTAGAATTGATTTGAAGATAATTCCTTTTCCACCACAGTCCGCAAAGGGCTAAAAATATCCACTTGCCGATTCCACAAAAAGAGAGATTCAAAACTGCTCAATCACAAGATAGGTTCAACTTGGTAATTGGAAAGCACACATGACAAACAATTTCTGAGAATGTTTCTGTGTAGTTTTTAAGGGAAGATATTTGATTTTCAAATGTAGGCCTCAAATCGCTCCAAATATCCACTTGCATATTGTACAAAAAGAGAGATTCAAAACTGGTCACTCAAAAGTTAGGTCCAGCTCTGTGAGCTGAATGCACACATCACAAAGATGTTTCTCAGAAGGTTTCTGTATAGTTTCTATATGAAGATATTGGCTTTTCCACAATATGCCTCAAATCTCCCCAATTATCCACTTGCAGATTCTAGAAAAAGAGTGTTTCAAAACAGCTCAATCAAAATAAACTTTCAACTCTGTGAGATCAATGCACACATCACAAAGAAGTTTCTCAGAATGCTTCTGTGTAGTTTTTTTTGTGAAGATATTTGATTTTCCACAGCAGGCTTCCAAGCACTCCAAATATCCACTCGCAGATTCTGCAAAAAGAGAGATTCAAATCTGCTGAATCAAAAGATAGGTTTAACTCTGTGACTTCAATGCACACCTCACAAGGGTGTTTCTCAGAAAGCTTCTGTGTAGTTTTTATATGAAGATATCTCCTTCTCCAAAGCAGGTCTCAAAGCCCTCCAAATATTCACTTCAAGATTCTACGGAAAGATTGTCTCAACACTGCTAAATCTAAACAAATGTTCAACTCTGTGTGATGAATGCACTCATCTCAGAGAAGTTTCTCTGAATGCCTCTGTGTAGTTTTTATTTGAAGATATTTGCTTTTCCAGTATAGGGCGAAATAGGGCTCCAAATATTCACTTGCAGATTCTACAAAAGGAGAGATTCCAAACTGCTCAATCAAAACATAGGTTCAACACTGTGAGTTGAATGCACACATCACAAAGAAGTTTCACAGAGTGCTTCTGGGTAGTTTTTATTTGAGGATATTTCCCTTTCCACAATAGGCCTCAAAGCTTTCCAAATATCCACTTGCAGATTCTGCAAAAAGAGAGATACAAAACTGCTCTATCAAAAGATAGATTCGACTCTGTGAGTTGAATGCCAACATCGCAAAGAAGTTTCTCAGAATGCTTCTCTGCAGCTTTTTTGTGAGTATGTTTCGTTTTCCACCATAGGGCGAAATGGGGCTCCAAATATCCACTTGCATTTCCTACAAAAAGAGAGATTCTAAGCTGCTCAATCAAAACATTGTTTCAACACGGTTAGTTGAATGCACACATCCCAAAGATGTTTTTCAGAGTGCTTCTGTGTGGTTTTTATGTGAAGATACTTCCTTTTCCACAATAGGCCTCAAATCTCTGTAAATATCCACTTGCAGACTCTACAAAGAGTGTTTCCAAACTCCTCAATCATAAGATAGGTTCAACTCCGATAGTTGAATGCACACATCACAAAGAAGTTTCTCAGAAAGCTTCTGTGTAGTTTTTGATGAAGATATCTTCTTCTCTAAAACAGAACTCCAAGCCCTCCAAATATTCACTTCAAGATTCTACGGAAAGATTGTCTCAAACTGCTAAATCAAAACAAAGGTTCAACTCTGTGTGATGAATGCATTCATCACAAAGAAGTTTCTCTGAGTGCTTCTGTGCAGTTTTTATTTGAAGATAATTGCTTTTCCAGTATAGGGCGAAATAGGGCTCCAAATATTCACTTGCAGATTCTACAGAAAGAGAGATTCCAAACTGCTCAATCAAAACATAGGTTCAACACTGTGAGTTGAATGCATACATCGCAAAGAAGTTTCACAGAGTACTTCTGGGTGGTTTTTATTTGAAGATATTTCCCTTTCCACAATAGGCCTCAAAGCTTTCCAAATGTCCACTTGCAGATTCCACCAAAAGAGTGTTTCGAAACTGCTCAATCAAAAGAAAGGTTCTACTCTGTGGGATGAATGCACACATCACAAAGTAGTTTCTCAGAATGCTTCCTGTGTAGTTTTTATGTGAAGATATTTGTTTTTCCACAGTAGGCCCCAAAGAGCTCCAAATATTCACTTGCAGATTCTACAAAAAGAGTGTTCCAAAACTGCTCAATCATGAAATAGGATCAACCCTGTGAGATGAATGTACGTATGACAGAGAAGTTTCTCAGAATGCTTCTGTGTAGTTTTTATGCGAAGATATTCGACTTTCCACAGTACGCCTCAAAGTTCTCCAATTATCCACTCGTAGATCCTGCAAAAAGAGAGATTCAAAACTGCTCAATCAAAAGATAGTTTCTACTCCATTAGCTGAAAGACCACATCACAAAAAAAGTTTCTCAGGATGCTTCTGTGTAGTTTTTATGTGAAGATATTTGGTTTTCCACAGTAGGCCTCAAAGCGCTCCAAATATCCACTCACAGATTCTGCAAAAAGAGAGATTCAAAACTGCTGAATCAAAAGACAGTTTCAACTCTGTGACTTCAGTGCACAGCTCACAAGGATGTTTCTCAGAATGCTTCTGTGTAGTTTTTATATAAAGATATCTCCTTCTCCAAAATGGATCTCAAAGTTCTCCAAATATTCACTTCCAGATTCTATGGAAAGATTGTCTCAAAACTGCTCAATCAAACCAAAGGTTCAACTCTGTGAGATGAATGCCCACATCACAAAGAAGTTTCTCAGAGTACTTCTGTGTAGTTTCTATTTGAGGATAGTTCCTTTTCCACCACAGACCAGAAAGGGCTCCAAATATCCATTGCAGATGGTACAAAAAGTGAGATTCAAAACTGCTCAATCCAAAGGTAGTTTCAACCATGTGATATGAATGCACACAGCACAGAGAATTTTCTCAAAATGCGTCTGTCTAGTTTTTATTTGAAGATATTTCCTTTTCTACCATAGGCCACAAACGTCTCCAAATATCCACATGCAGCTTCTACAAAAAGAGAGATTCAAAACTTCTCAATCAAAAGATAGGTTCAACTCTGTGAGTTGAAAGCACACCTCACAGAGAAGTTTCTCAGAGTGCTTCTGTGTGTTTTTATGTGAAGATATTTCCTTTTCCACAATAGGCCTCAAAGCTCTCCAAATATCTGTGAGCAGAGTCTACAAAATGAGAGATTCAAAACTGCTCAATGAAAAGATAGGTTCAACTCTGTGAGTTGAATGCACACCTCCAAAGAAGTTTCTCAGAATGCTTCCGTGTAGTTTTTATGTGAAGATATTTACTTTTCCACAGTTGTCCCAAAGCTCTAAAATGTCCACTTGCAGACCCTCCAAAAGAGTGTTTCAGAATTGCTCAATCAAAGGGAAGGTTCAATTCTGTGTGACCAATGCACTCATCACAAAGAAGTTTGTCTGAATGCTTCTGTGTAGAATTGATTTGAAGATAATTCCTTTTCCACCACAGTCCGCAAAGGGCTAAAAATATCCACTTGCCGATTCCACAAAAAGAGAGATTCAAAACTGCTCAATCACAAGATAGGTTCAACTTGGTAATTGGAAAGCACACATGACAAACAATTTCTGAGAATGTTTCTGTGTAGTTTTTAAGGGAAGATATTTGATTTTCAAATGTAGGCCTCAAATCGCTCCAAATATCCACTTGCATATTGTACAAAAAGAGAGATTCAAAACTGGTCACTCAAAAGTTAGGTCCAGCTCTGTGAGCTGAATGCACACATCACA
Source organism: Homo sapiens (assembly GCF_000001405.40). Classification (NCBI taxonomy): domain Eukaryota; kingdom Metazoa; phylum Chordata; class Mammalia; order Primates; family Hominidae; genus Homo; species Homo sapiens. The sequence continues at coordinate 18,124,205 of NC_000015.10, read as the reverse complement.
AAGATGTTTCTCAGAAGGTTTCTGTATAGTTTCTATATGAAGATATTTGCTTTTCCACAATATGCCTCAAATCTCCCCAATTATCCACTTGCAGATTCTAGAAAAAGAGTGTTTCAAAACAGCTCAATCAAAATAAACTTTCAACTCTGTGAGATCAATGCACACATCACAAAGAAGTTTCTCAGAATGCTTCTGTGTAGTTTTTTTTGTGAAGATATTTGATTTTCCACAGCAGGCTTCCAAGCACTCCAAATATCCACTCGCAGATTCTGCAAAAAGAGAGATTCAAATCTGCTGAATCAAAAGATAGGTTTAACTCTGTGACTTCAATGCACACCTCACAAGGGTGTTTCTCAGAAAGCTTCTGTGTAGTTTTTATATGAAGATATCTCCTTCTCCAAAGCAGGTCTCAAAGCCCTCCAAATATTCACTTCAAGATTCTACGGAAAGATTGTCTCAACACTGCTAAATCTAAACAAATGTTCAACTCTGTGTGATGAATGCACTCATCACAGAGAAGTTTCTCTGAATGCCTCTGTGTAGTTTTTATTTGAAGATATTTGCTTTTCCAGTATAGGGCGAAATAGGGCTCCAAATATTCACTTGCAGATTCTACAAAAGGAGAGATTCCAAACTGCTCAATCAAAACATAGGTTCAACACTGTGAGTTGAATGCACACATCACAAAGAAGTTTCACAGAGTGCTTCTGGGTAGTTTCTATTTGAGGATATTTCCCTTTCCACAATAGGCCTCAAAGCTTTCCAAATATCCACTTGCAGATTCTGCAAAAAGAGAGATACAAAACTGCTCTATCAAAAGATAGATTCGACTCTGTGAGTTGAATGCCAACATCGCAAAGAAGTTTCTCAGAATGCTTCTCTGCAGCTTTTTTGTGAGTATGTTTCGTTTTCCACCATAGGGCGAAATGGGGCTCCAAATATCCACTTGCATTTCCTACAAAAAGAGAGATTCTAAGCTGCTCAATCAAAACATTGTTTCAACACGGTTAGTTGAATGCACACATCCCAAAGATGTTTTTCAGAGTGCTTCTGTGTGGTTTTTATGTGAAGATACTTCCTTTTCCACAATAGGCCTCAAATCTCTGTAAATATCCACTTGCAGACTCCACAAAGAGTGTTTCCAAACTGCTCAATCATAAGATAGGTTCAACTCCGATAGTTGAATGCACACATCACAAAGAAGTTTCTCAGAAAGCTTCTGTGTAGTTTTTGATGAAGATATCTTCTTCTCTAAAACAGAACTCCAAGCCCTCCAAATATTCACTTCAAGATTCTACGGAAAGATTGTCTCAAACTGCTAAATCAAAACAAAGGTTCAACTCTGTGTGATGAATGCATTCATCACAAAGAAGTTTCTCTGAGTGCTTCTGTGCAGTTTTTATTTGAAGATAATTGCTTTTCCAGTATAGGGCGAAATAGGGCTCCAAATATTCACTTGCAGATTCTACAGAAAGAGAGATTCCAAACTGCTCAATCAAAACATAGGTTCAACACTGTGAGTTGAATGCATACATCGCAAAGAAGTTTCACAGAGTACTTCTGGGTGGTTTTTATTTGAAGATATTTCCCTTTCCACAATAGGCCTCAAAGCTTTCCAAATGTCCACTTGCAGATTCCACCAAAAGAGTGTTTCGAAACTGCTCAATCAAAAGAAAGGTTCTACTCTGTGGGATGAATGCACACATCACAAAGTAGTTTCTCAGAATGCTTCTGTGTAGTTTTTATGTGAAGATATTTGTTTTTCCACAGTAGGCCCCAAAGAGCTCCAAATATTCACTTGCAGATTCTACAAAAAGAGTGTTCCAAAACTGCTCAATCATGAAATAGGATCAACCCTGTGAGATGAATGTACGTATGACAGAGAAGTTTCTCAGAATGCTTCTGTGTAGTTTTTATGCGAAGATATTCGACTTTCCACAGTACGCCTCAAAGTTCTCCAATTATCCACTCGTAGATCCCGCAAAAAGAGAGATTCAAAACTGCTCAATCAAAAGATAGTTTCTACTCCATTAGCTGAAAGACCACATCACAAAAAAAGTTTCTCAGGATGCTTCTGTGTAGTTTTTATGTGAAGATATTTGGTTTTCCACAGTAGGCCTCAAAGCGCTCCAAATATCCACTCACAGATTCTGCAAAAAGAGAGATTCAAAACTGCTGAATCAAAAGACAGTTTCAACTCTGTGACTTCAGTGCACACCTCACAAGGATGTTTCTCAGAATGCTTCTGTGTAGTTTTTATATAAAGATATCTCCTTCTCCAAAATGGATCTCAAAGTTCTCCAAATATTCACTTCCAGATTCTATGGAAAGATTGTCTCAAAACTGCTCAATCAAACCAAAGGTTCAACTCTGTGAGATGAATGCCCACATCACAAAGAAGTTTCTCAGAGTACTTCTGTGTAGTTTCTATTTGAGGATAGTTCCTTTTCCACCACAGACCAGAAAGGGCTCCAAATATCCATTGCAGATGGTACAAAAAGTGAGATTCAAAACTGCTCAATCCAAAGGTAGTTTCAACCATGTGATATGAATGCACACAGCACAGAGAATTTTCTCAAAATGCGTCTGTCTAGTTTTTATTTGAAGATATTTCCTTTTCTACCATAGGCCACAAACGTCTCCAAATATCCACATGCAGCTTCTACAAAAAGAGAGATTCAAAACTTCTCAATCAAAAGATAGGTTCAACTCTGTGAGTTGAAAGCACACCTCACAAAGAAGTTTCTCAGAGTGCTTCTGTGTGTTTTTATGTGAAGATATTTCCTTTTCCACAATAGGCCTCAAAGCTCTCCAAATATCTGCGAGCAGAGTCTACAAAATGAGAGATTCAAAACTGCTCAATGAAAAGATAGGTTCAACTCTGTGAGTTGAATGCACACCTCCAAAGAAGTTTCTCAGAATGCTTCCGTGTAGTTTTTATGTGAAGATATTTACTTTTCCACAGTTGTCCCAAAGCTCTAAAATATCCACTTGCAGACCCTCCAAAAGAGTGTTTCAGAATTGCTCAATCAAAGGGAAGGTTCAATTCTGTGTGACCAATGCACTCATCACAAAGAAGTTTGTCTGAATGCTTCTGTGTAGAATTGATTTGAAGATAATTCCTTTTCCACCACAGTCCGCAAAGGGCTAAAAATATCCACTTGCCGATTCCACAAAAAGAGAGATTCAAAACTGCTCAATCACAAGATAGGTTCAACTTGGTAATTGGAAAGCACACATGACAAACAATTTCTGAGAATGTTTCTGTGTAGTTTTTAAGGGAAGATATTTGATTTTCAAATGTAGGCCTCAAATCGCTCCAAATATCCACTTGCATATTGTACAAAAAGAGAGATTCAAAACTGGTCACTCAAAAGTTAGGTCCAGCTCTGTGAGCTGAATGCACACATCACAAAGATGTTTCTCAGAAGGTTTCTGTATAGTTTCTATATGAAGATATTGGCTTTTCCACAATATGCCTCAAATCTCCCCAATTATCCACTTGCAGATTCTAGAAAAAGAGTGTTTCAAAACAGCTCAATCAAAATAAACTTTCAACTCTGTGAGATCAATGCACACATCACAAAGAAGTTTCTCAGAATGCTTCTGTGTAGTTTTTTTTGTGAAGATATTTGATTTTCCACAGCAGGCTTCCAAGCACTCCAAATATCCACTCGCAGATTCTGCAAAAAGAGAGATTCAAATCTGCTGAATCAAAAGATAGGTTTAACTCTGTGACTTCAATGCACACCTCACAAGGGTGTTTCTCAGAAAGCTTCTGTGTAGTTTTTATATGAAGATATCTCCTTCTCCAAAGCAGGTCTCAAAGCCCTCCAAATATTCACTTCAAGATTCTACGGAAAGATTGTCTCAACACTGCTAAATCTAAACAAATGTTCAACTCTGTGTGATGAATGCACTCATCACAGAGAAGTTTCTCTGAATGCCTCTGTGTAGTTTTTATTTGAAGATATTTGCTTTTCCAGTATAGGGCGAAATAGGGCTCCAAATATTCACTTGCAGATTCTACAAAAGGAGAGATTCCAAACTGCTCAATCAAAACATAGGTTCAACACTGTGAGTTGAATGCACACATCACAAAGAAGTTTCACAGAGTGCTTCTGGGTAGTTTTTATTTGAGGATATTTCCCTTTCCACAATAGGCCTCAAAGCTTTCCAAATATCCACTTGCAGATTCTGCAAAAAGAGAGATACAAAACTGCTCTATCAAAAGATAGATTCGACTCTGTGAGTTGAATGCCAACATCGCAAAGAAGTTTCTCAGAATGCTTCTCTGCAGCTTTTTTGTGAGTATGTTTCGTTTTCCACCATAGGGCGAAATGGGGCTCCAAATATCCACTTGCATTTCCTACAAAAAGAGAGATTCTAAGCTGCTCAATCAAAACATTGTTTCAACACGGTTAGTTGAATGCACACATCCCAAAGATGTTTTTCAGAGTGCTTCTGTGTGGTTTTTATGTGAAGATACTTCCTTTTCCACAATAGGCCTCAAATCTCTGTAAATATCCACTTGCAGACTCTACAAAGAGTGTTTCCAAACTCCTCAATCATAAGATAGGTTCAACTCCGATAGTTGAATGCACACATCACAAAGAAGTTTCTCAGAAAGCTTCTGTGTAGTTTTTGATGAAGATATCTTCTTCTCTAAAACAGAACTCCAAGCCCTCCAAATATTCACTTCAAGATTCTACGGAAAGATTGTCTCAAACTGCTAAATCAAAACAAAGGTTCAATTCTGTGTGATGAATGCATTCATCACAAAGAAGTTTCTCTGAGTGCTTCTGTGCAGTTTTTATTTGAAGATAATTGCTTTTCCAGTATAGGGCGAAATAGGGCTCCAAATATTCACTTGCAGATTCTACAGAAAGAGAGATTCCAAACTGCTCAATCAAAACATAGGTTCAACACTGTGAGTTGAATGCATACATCGCAAAGAAGTTTCACAGAGTACTTCTGGGTGGTTTTTATTTGAAGATATTTCCCTTTCCAAAATAGGCCTCAAAGCTTTCCAAATGTCCACTTGCAGATTCCACCAAAAGAGTGTTTCGAAACTGCTCAATCAAAAGAAAGGTTCTACTCTGTGGGATGAATGCACACATCACAAAGTAGTTTCTCAGAATGCTTCTGTGTAGTTTTTATGTGAAGATATTTGTTTTTCCACAGTAGGCCCCAAAGAGCTCCAAATATTCACTTGCAGATTCTACAAAAAGAGTGTTCCAAAACTGCTCAATCATGAAATAGGATCAACCCTGTGAGATGAATGTACGTATGACAGAGAAGTTTCTCAGAATGCTTCTGTGTAGTTTTTATGCGAAGATATTCGATTTTCCACAGTACGCCTCAAAGTTCTCCAATTATCCACTCGTAGATTCTGCAAAAAGAGAGATTCAAAACTGCTCAATCAAAAGATAGTTTCTACTCCATCAGCTGAAAGACCACATCACAAAAAAAGTTTCTCAGGATGCTTCTGTGTAGTTTTTATGTGAAGATATTTGGTTTTCCACAGTAGGCCTCAAAGCGCTCCAAATATCCACTCACAGATTCTGCAAAAAGAGAGATTCAAAACTGCTGAATCAAAAGACAGTTTCAACTCTGTGACTTCAGTGCACACCTCACAAGGATGTTTCTCAGAATGCTTCTGTGTAGTTTTTATATAAAGATATCTCCTTCTCCAAAATGGATCTCAAAGTTCTCCAAATATTCACTTCCAGATTCTATGGAAAGATTGTCTCAAAACTGCTCAATCAAACCAAAGGTTCAACTCTGTGAGATGAATGCACACATCACAAAGAAGTTTCTCAGAGTACTTCTGTGTAGTTTCTACTTGAGGATAGTTCCTCTTCCACCACAGACCAGAAAGGGCTCCAGATATCCATTGCAGATGGTACAAAAAGTGAGATTCAAAACTGCTCAATCCAAAGGTAGTTTCAACCATGTGATATGAATGCACACAGCACAGAGAATTTTCTCAAAATGCGCCTGTCTAGTTTTTATTTGAAGATATTTCCTTTTCTACCATAGGCCACAAACGTCTCCAAATATCCACATGCAGCTTCTACAAAAAGAGAGATTCAAAACTTCTCAATCAAAAGATAGGTTCAACTCTGTGAGTTGAAAGCACACCTCACAAAGAAGTTTCTCAGAGTGCTTCTGTGTGTTTTTATGTGAAGATATTTCCTTTTCCACAATAGGCCTCAAAGCTCTCCAAATATCTGCGAGCAGAGTCTACAAAATGAGAGATTCAAAACTGCTCAATGAAAAGATAGGTTCAACTCTGTGAGTTGAATGCACACCTCCAAAGAAGTTTCTCAGAATGCTTCCGTGTAGTTTTTATGTGAAGATATTTACTTTTCCACAGTTGTCCCAAAGCTCTAAAATATCCACTTGCAGACCCTCCAAAAGAGTGTTTCATAATTGCTCAATCAAAGGGAAGGTTCAATTCTGTGTGACCAATGCACTCATCACAAAGAAGTTTGTCTGAATGCTTCTGTGTAGAATTGATTTGAAGATAATTCCTTTTCCACCACAGTCCGCAAAGGGCTAAAAATATCCACTTGCCGATTCCACAAAAAGAGAGATTCAAAACTGCTCAATCACAAGATAGGTTCAACTTGGTAATTGGAAAGCACACATGACAAACAATTTCTGAGAATGTTTCTGTGTAGTTTTTAAGGGAAGATATTTGATTTTCAAATGTAGGCCTCAAATCGCTCCAAATATCCACTTGCATATTGTACAAAAAGAGAGATTCAAAACTGGTCACTCAAAAGTTAGGTCCAGCTCTGTGAGCTGAATGCACACATCACAAAGATGTTTCTCAGAAGGTTTCTGTATAGTTTTTATATGAAGATATTTGCTTTTCCACAATATGCCTCAAATCTCCCCAATTATCCACTTGCAGATTCTAGAAAAAGAGTGTTTCAAAACAGCTCAATCAAAATAAACTTTCAACTCTGTGAGATCAATGCACACATCACAAAGAAGTTTCTCAGAATGCTTCTGTGTAGTTTTTTTTGTGAAGATATTTGATTTTCCACAGCAGGCTTCCAAGCACTCCAAATATCCACTCGCAGATTCTGCAAAAAGAGAGATTCAAATCTGCTGAATCAAAAGATAGGTTTAACTCTGTGACTTCAATGCACACCTCACAAGGGTGTTTCTCAGAAAGCTTCTGTGTAGTTTTTATATGAAGATATCTCCTTCTCCAAAGCAGGTCTCAAAGCCCTCCAAATATTCACTTCAAGATTCTACGGAAAGATTGTCTCAACACTGCTAAATCTAAACAAATGTTCAACTCTGTGTGATGAATGCACTCATCACAGAGAAGTTTCTCTGAATGCCTCTGTGTAGTTTTTATTTGAAGATATTTGCTTTTCCAGTATAGGGCGAAATAGGGCTCCAAATATTCACTTGCAGATTCTACAAAAGGAGAGATTCCAAACTGCTCAATCAAAACATAGGTTCAACACTGTGAGTTGAATGCACACATCACAAAGAAGTTTCACAGAGTGCTTCTGGGTAGTTTTTATTTGAGGATATTTCCCTTTCCACAATAGGCCTCAAAGCTTTCCAAATATCCACTTGCAGATTCTGCAAAAAGAGAGATACAAAACTGCTCTATCAAAAGATAGATTCGACTCTGTGAGTTGAATGCCAACATCGCAAAGAAGTTTCTCAGAATGCTTTCTCTGCAGCTTTTTTGTGAGTATGTTTCGTTTTCCACCATAGGGCGAAATGGGGCTCCAAATATCCACTTGCATTTCCTACAAAAATAGAGATTCTAAGCTGCTCAATCAAAACATTGTTTCAACACGGTTAGTTGAATGCACATATCCCAAAGATTTTTTTCAGAGTGCTTCTGTGTGGTTTTTATGTGAAGATACTTCCTTTTCCACAATAGGCCTCAAATCTCTGTAAATATCCACTTGCAGACTCTACAAAGAGTGTTTCCAAACTCCTCAATCATAAGATAGGTTCAACTCCGATAGTTGAATGCACACATCACAAAGAAGTTTCTCAGAAAGCTTCTGTGTAGTTTTTGATGAAGATATCTTCTTCTCTAAAACAGAACTCCAAGCCCTCCAAATATTCACTTCAAGATTCTACGGAAAGATTGTCTCAAACTGCTAAATCAAAACAAAGGTTCAACTCTGTGTGATGAATGCATTCATCACAAAGAAGTTTCTCTGAGTGCTTCCTGTGCAGTTTTTATTTGAAGATAATTGCTTTTCCAGTATAGGGCGAAATAGGGCTCCAAATATTCACTTGCAGATTCTACAGAAAGAGAGATTCCAAACTGCTCAATCAAAACATAGGTTCAACACTGTGAGTTGAATGCATACATCGCAAAGAAGTTTCACAGAGTACTTCTGGGTGGTTTTTATTTGAAGATATTTCCCTTTCCACAATAGGCCTCAAAGCTTTCCAAATGTCCACTTGCAGATTCCACCAAAAGAGTGTTTCGAAACTGCTCAATCAAAAGAAAGGTTCTACTCTGTGGGATGAATGCACACATCACAAAGTAGTTTCTCAGAATGCTTCTGTGTAGTTTTTATGTGAAGATATTTGTTTTTCCACAGTAGGCCCCAAAGAGCTCCAAATATTCACTTGCAGATTCTACAAAAAGAGTGTTCCAAAACTGCTCAATCATGAAATAGGATCAACCCTGTGAGATGAATGTACGTATGACAGAGAAGTTTCTCAGAATGCTTCTGTGTAGTTTTTATGCGAAGATATTCGATTTTCCACAGTACGCCTCAAAGTTCTCCAATTATCCACTCGTAGATTATGCAAAAAGAGAGATTCAAAACTGCTCAATCAAAAGATAGTTTCTACTCCATTAGCTGAAAGACCACATCACAAAAAAAGTTTCTCAGGATGCTTCTGTGTAGTTTTTATGTGAAGATATTTGGTTTTCCACAGTAGGCCTCAAAGCGCTCCAAATATCCACTCACAGATTCTGCAAAAAGAGAGATTCAAAACTGCTGAATCAAAAGACAGTTTCAACTCTGTGACTTCAGTGCACACCTCACAAGGATGTTTCTCAGAATGCTTCTGTGTAGTTTTTATATAAAGATATCTCCTTCTCCAAAATGGATCTCAAAGTTCTCCAAATATTCACTTCCAGATTCTATGGAAAGATTGTCTCAAAACTGCTCAATCAAACCAAAGGTTCAACTCTGTGAGATGAATGCCCACATCACAAAGAAGTTTCTCAGAGTACTTCTGTGTAGTTTCTATTTGAGGATAGTTCCTTTTCCACCACAGACCAGAAAGGGCTCCAAATATCCATTGCAGATGGTACAAAAAGTGAGATTCAAAACTGCTCAATCCAAAGGTAGTTTCAACCATGTGATATGAATGCACACAGCACAGAGAATTTTCTCAAAATGCGTCTGTCTAGTTTTTATTTGAAGATATTTCCTTTTCTACCATAGGCCACAAACGTCTCCAAATATCCACATGCAGCTTCTACAAAAAGAGAGATTCAAAACTTCTCAATCAAAAGATAGGTTCAACTCTGTGAGTTGAAAGCACACCTCACAGAGAAGTTTCTCAGAGTGCTTCTGTGTGTTTTTATGTGAAGATATTTCCTTTTCCACAATAGGCCTCAAAGCTCTCCAAATATCTGCGAGCAGAGTCTACAAAATGAGAGATTCAAAACTGCTCAATGAAAAGATAGGTTCAACTCTGTGAGTTGAATGCACACCTCCAAAGAAGTTTCTCAGAATGCTTCCGTGTAGTTTTTATGTGAAGATATTTACTTTTCCACAGTTGTCCCAAAGCTCTAAAATGTCCACTTGCAGACCCTCCAAAAGAGTGTTTCAGAATTGCTCAATCAAAGGGAAGGTTCAATTCTGTGTGACCAATGCACTCATCACAAAGAAGTTTGTCTGAATGCTTCTGTGTAGAATTGATTTGAAGATAATTCCTTTTCCACCACAGTCCGCAAAGGGCTAAAAATATCCACTTGCCGATTCCACAAAAAGAGAGATTCAAAACTGCTCAATCACAAGATAGGTTCAACTTGGTAATTGGAAAGCACACATGACAAACAATTTCTGAGAATGTTTCTGTGTAGTTTTTAAGGGAAGATATTTGATTTTCAAATGTAGGCCTCAAATCGCTCCAAATATCCACTTGCATATTGTACAAAAAGAGAGATTCAAAACTGGTCACTCAAAAGTTAGGTCCAGCTCTGTGAGCTGAATGCACACATCACAAAGATGTTTCTCAGAAGGTTTCTGTATAGTTTCTATATGAAGATATTTGCTTTTCCACAATATGCCTCAAATCTCCCCAATTATCCACTTGCAGATTCTAGAAAAAGAGTGTTTCAAAACAGCTCAATCAAAATAAACTTTCAACTCTGTGAGATCAATGCACACATCACAAAGAAGTTTCTCAGAATGCTTCTGTGTAGTTTTTTTTGTGAAGATATTTGATTTTCCACAGCAGGCTTCCAAGCACTCCAAATATCCACTCGCAGATTCTGCAAAAAGAGAGATTCAAATCTGCTGAATCAAAAGATAGGTTTAACTCTGTGACTTCAATGCACACCTCACAAGGGTGTTTCTCAGAAAGCTTCTGTGTAGTTTTTATATGAAGATATCTCCTTCTCCAAAGCAGGTCTCAAAGCCCTCCAAATATTCACTTCAAGATTCTACGGAAAGATTGTCTCAACACTGCTAAATCTAAACAAATGTTCAACTCTGTGTGATGAATGCACTCATCACAGAGAAGTTTCTCTGAATGCCTCTGTGTAGTTTTTATTTGAAGATATTTGCTTTTCCAGTATAGGGCGAAATAGGGCTCCAAATATTCACTTGCAGATTCTACAAAAGGAGAGATTCCAAACTGCTCAATCAAAACATAGGTTCAACACTGTGAGTTGAATGCACACATCACAAAGAAGTTTCACAGAGTGCTTCTGGGTAGTTTTTATTTGAGGATATTTCCCTTTCCACAATAGGCCTCAAAGCTTTCCAAATATCCACTTGCAGATTCTGCAAAAAGAGAGATACAAAACTGCTCTATCAAAAGATAGATTCGACTCTGTGAGTTGAATGCCAACATCGCAAAGAAGTTTCTCAGAATGCTTCTCTGCAGCTTTTTTGTGAGTATGTTTCGTTTTCCACCATAGGGCGAAATGGGGCTCCAAATATCCACTTGCATTTCCTACAAAAAGAGAGATTCTAAGCTGCTCAATCAAAACATTGTTTCAACACGGTTAGTTGAATGCACACATCCCAAAGACGTTTTTCAGAGTGCTTCTGTGTGGTTTTTATGTGAAGATACTTCCTTTTCCACAATAGGCCTCAAATCTCTGTAAATATCCACTTGCAGACTCCACAAAGAGTGTTTCCAAACTGCTCAATCATAAGATAGGTTCAACTCCGATAGTTGAATGCACACATCACAAAGAAGTTTCTCAGAAAGCTTCTGTGTAGTTTTTGATGAAGATATCTTCTTCTCTAAAACAGAACTCCAAGCCCTCCAAATATTCACTTCAAGATTCTACGGAAAGATTGTCTCAAACTGCTAAATCAAAACAAAGGTTCAACTCTGTGTGATGAATGCATTCATCACAAAGAAGTTTCTCTGAGTGCTTCTGTGCAGTTTTTATTTGAAGATAATTGCTTTTCCAGTATAGGGCGAAATAGGGCTCCAAATATTCACTTGCAGATTCTACAGAAAGAGAGATTCCAAACTGCTCAATCAAAACATAGGTTCAACACTGTGAGTTGAATGCATACATCGCAAAGAAGTTTCACAGAGTACTTCTGGGTGGTTTTTATTTGAAGATATTTCCCTTTCCACAATAGGCCTCAAAGCTTTCCAAATGTCCACTTGCAGATTCCACCAAAAGAGTGTTTCGAAACTGCTCAATCAAAAGAAAGGTTCTACTCTGTGGGATGAATGCACACATCACAAAGTAGTTTCTCAGAATGCTTCTGTGTAGTTTTTATGTGAAGATATTTGTTTTTCCACAGTAGGCCCCAAAGAGCTCCAAATATTCACTTGCAGATTCTACAAAAAGAGTGTTCCAAAACTGCTCAATCATGAAATAGGATCAACCCTGTGAGATGAATGTACGTATGACAGAGAAGTTTCTCAGAATGCTTCTGTGTAGTTTTTATGCGAAGATATTCGATTTTCCACAGTACGCCTCAAAGTTCTCCAATTATCCACTCGTAGATTCTGCAAAAAGAGAGATTCAAAACTGCTCAATCAAAAGATAGTTTCTACTCCATTAGCTGAAAGACCACATCACAAAAAAAGTTTCTCAGGATGCTTCTGTGTAGTTTTTATGTGAAGATATTTGGTTTTCCACAGTAGGCCTCAAAGCGCTCCAAATATCCACTCACAGATTCTGCAAAAAGAGAGATTCAAAACTGCTGAATCAAAAGACAGTTTCAACTCTGTGACTTCAGTGCACACCTCACAAGGATGTTTCTCAGAATGCTTCTGTGTAGTTTTCATATAAAGATATCTCCTTCTCCAAAATGGATCTCAAAGTTCTCCAAATATTCACTTCCAGATTCTATGGAAAGATTGTCTCAAAACTGCTCAATCAAACCAAAGGTTCAACTCTGTGAGATGAATGCCCACATCACAAAGAAGTTTCTCAGAGTACTTCTGTGTAGTTTCTATTTGAGGATAGTTCCTTTTCCACCACAGACCAGAAAGGGCTCCAAATATCCATTGCAGATGGTACAAAAAGTGAGATTCAAAACTGCTCAATCCAAAGGTAGTTTCAACCATGTGATATGAATGCACACAGCACAGAGAATTTTCTCAAAATGCGTCTGTCTAGTTTTTATTTGAAGATATTTCCTTTTCTACCATAGGCCACAAACGTCTCCAAATATCCACATGCAGCTTCTACAAAAAGAGAGATTCAAAACTTCTCAATCAAAAGATAGGTTCAACTCTGTGAGTTGAAAGCACACCTCACAAAGAAGTTTCTCAGAGTGCTTCTGTGTGTTTTTATGTGAAGATATTTCCTTTTCCACAATAGGCCTCAAAGCTCTCCAAATATCTGCGAGCAGAGTCTACAAAATGAGAGATTCAAAACTGCTCAATGAAAAGATAGGTTCAACTCTGTGAGTTGAATGCACACCTCCAAAGAAGTTTCTCAGAATGCTTCCGTGTAGTTTTTATGTGAAGATATTTACTTTTCCACAGTTGTCCCAAAGCTCTAAAATGTCCACTTGCAGACCCTCCAAAAGAGTGTTTCAGAATTGCTCAATCAAAGGGAAGGTTCAATTCTGTGTGACCAATGCACTCATCACAAAGAAGTTTGTCTGAATGCTTCTGTGTAGAATTGATTTGAAGATAATTCCTTTTCCACCACAGTCCGCAAAGGGCTAAAAATATCCACTTGCCGATTCCACAAAAAGAGAGATTCAAAACTGCTCAATCACAAGATAGGTTCAACTTGGTAATTGGAAAGCACACATGACAAACAATTTCTGAGAATGTTTCTGTGTAGTTTTTAAGGGGAAGATATTTGATTTTCAAATGTAGGCCTCAAATCGCTCCAAATATCCACTTGCATATTGTACAAAAAGAGAGATTCAAAACTGGTCACTCAAAAGTTAGGTCCAGCTCTGTGAGCTGAATGCACACATCACAAAGATGTTTCTCAGAAGGTTTCTGTATAGTTTCTATATGAAGATATTTGCTTTTCCACAATATGCCTCAAATCTCCCCAATTATCCACTTGCAGATTCTAGAAAAAGAGTGTTTCAAAACAGCTCAATCAAAATAAACTTTCAACTCTGTGAGATCAATGCACACATCACAAAGAAGTTTCTCAGAATGCTTCTGTGTAGTTTTTTTTGTGAAGATATTTGATTTTCCACAGCAGGCTTCCAAGCACTCCAAATATCCACTCGCAGATTCTGCAAAAAGAGAGATTCAAATCTGCTGAATCAAAAGATAGGTTTAACTCTGTGACTTCAATGCACACCTCACAAGGGTGTTTCTCAGAAAGCTTCTGTGTAGTTTTTATATGAAGATATCTCCTTCTCCAAAGCAGGTCTCAAAGCCCTCCAAATATTCACTTCAAGATTCTACGGAAAGATTGTCTCAACACTGCTAAATCTAAACAAATGTTCAACTCTGTGTGATGAATGCACTCATCACAGAGAAGTTTCTCTGAATGCCTCTGTGTAGTTTTTATTTGAAGATATTTGCTTTTCCAGTATAGGGCGAAATAGGGCTCCAAATATTCACTTGCAGATTCTACAAAAGGAGAGATTCCAAACTGCTCAATCAAAACATAGGTTCAACACTGTGAGTTGAATGCACACATCACAAAGAAGTTTCACAGAGTGCTTCTGGGTAGTTTTTATTTGAGGATATTTCCCTTTCCACAATAGGCCTCAAAGCTTTCCAAATATCCACTTGCAGATTCTGCAAAAAGAGAGATACAAAACTGCTCTATCAAAAGATAGATTCGACTCTGTGAGTTGAATGCCAACATCGCAAAGAAGTTTCTCAGAATGCTTCTCTGCAGCTTTTTTGTGAGTATGTTTCGTTTTCCACCATAGGGCGAAATGGGGCTCCAAATATCCACTTGCATTTCCTACAAAAAGAGAGATTCTAAGCTGCTCAATCAAAACATTGTTTCAACACGGTTAGTTGAATGCACACATCCCAAAGATGTTTTTCAGAGTGCTTCTGTGTGGTTTTTATGTGAAGATACTTCCTTTTCCACAATAGGCCTCAAATCTCTGTAAATATCCACTTGCAGACTCTACAAAGAGTGTTTCCAAACTCCTCAATCATAAGATAGGTTCAACTCCGATAGTTGAATGCACACATCACAAAGAAGTTTCTCGGAAAGCTTCTGTGTAGTTTTTGATGAAGATATCTTCTTCTCTAAAACAGAACTCCAAGCCCTCCAAATATTCACTTCAAGATTCTACGGAAAGATTGTCTCAAACTGCTAAATCAAAACAAAGGTTCAACTCTGTGTGATGAATGCATTCATCACAAAGAAGTTTCTCTGAGTGCTTCTGTGCAGTTTTTATTTGAAGATAATTGCTTTTCCAGTATAGGGCGAAATAGGGCTCCAAATATTCACTTGCAGATTCTACAGAAAGAGAGATTCCAAACTGCTCAATCAAAACATAGGTTCAACACTGTGAGTTGAATGCATACATCGCAAAGAAGTTTCACAGAGTACTTCTGGGTGGTTTTTATTTGAAGATATTTCCCTTTCCACAATAGGCCTCAAAGCTTTCCAAATGTCCACTTGCAGATTCCACCAAAAGAGTGTTTCGAAACTGCTCAATCAAAAGAAAGGTTCTACTCTGTGGGATGAATGCACACATCACAAAGTAGTTTCTCAGAATGCTTCTGTGTAGTTTTTATGTGAAGATATTTGTTTTTCCACAGTAGGCCCCAAAGAGCTCCAAATATTCACTTGCAGATTCTACAAAAAGAGTGTTCCAAAACTGCTCAATCATGAAATAGGATCAACCCTGTGAGATGAATGTACGTATGACAGAGAAGTTTCTCAGAATGCTTCTGTGTAGTTTTTATGCGAAGATATTCGACTTTCCACAGTACGCCTCAAAGTTCTCCAATTATCCACTCGTAGATTCTGCAAAAAGAGAGATTCAAAACTGCTCAATCAAAAGATAGTTTCTACTCCATTAGCTGAAAGACCACATCACAAAAAAAGTTTCTCAGGATGCTTCTGTGTAGTTTTTATGTGAAGATATTTGGTTTTCCACAGTAGGCCTCAAAGCGCTCCAAATATCCACTCACAGATTCTGCAAAAAGAGAGATTCAAAACTGCTGAATCAAAAGACAGTTTCAACTCTGTGACTTCAGTGCACACCTCACAAGGATGTTTCTCAGAATGCTTCTGTGTAGTTTTCATATAAAGATATCTCCTTCTCCAAAATGGATCTCAAAGTTCTCCAAATATTCACTTCCAGATTCCATGGAAAGATTGTCTCAAAACTGCTCAATCAAACCAAAGGTTCAACTCTGTGAGATGAATGCCCACATCACAAAGAAGTTTCTCAGAGTACTTCTGTGTAGTTCCTATTTGAGGATAGTTCCTTTTCCACCACAGACCAGAAAGGGCTCCAAATATCCATTGCAGATGGTACAAAAAGTGAGATTCAAAACTGCTCAATCCAAAGGTAGTTTCAACCATGTGATATGAATGCACACAGCACAGAGAATTTTCTCAAAATGCGTCTGTCTAGTTTTTATTTGAAGATATTTCCTTTTCTACCATAGGCCACAAACGTCTCCAAATATCCACATGCAGCTTCTACAAAAAGAGAGATTCAAAACTTCTCAATCAAAAGATAGGTTCAACTCTGTGAGTTGAAAGCACACCTCACAAAGAAGTTTCTCAGAGTGCTTCTGTGTGTTTTTATGTGAAGATATTTCCTTTTCCACAATAGGCCTCAAAGCTCTCCAAATATCTGCGAGCAGAGTCTACAAAATGAGAGATTCAAAACTGCTCAATGAAAAGATAGGTTCAACTCTGTGAGTTGAATGCACACCTCCAAAGAAGTTTCTCAGAATGCTTCCGTGTAGTTTTTATGTGAAGATATTTACTTTTCCACAGCTGTCCCAAAGCTCTAAAATATCCACTTGCAGACCCTCCAAAAGAGTGTTTCAGAATTGCTCAATCAAAGGGAAGGTTCAATTCTGTGTGACCAATGCACTCATCACAAAGAAGTTTGTCTGAATGCTTCTGTGTAGAATTGATTTGAAGATAATTCCTTTTCCACCACAGTCCGCAAAGGGCTAAAAATATCCACTTGCCGATTCCACAAAAAGAGAGATTCAAAACTGCTCAATCACAAGATAGGTTCAACTTGGTAATTGGAAAGCACACATGACAAACAATTTCTGAGAATGTTTCTGTGTAGTTTTTAAGGGAAGATATTTGATTTTCAAATGTAGGCCTCAAATCGCTCCAAATATCCACTTGCATATTGTACAAAAAGAGAGATTCAAAACTGGTCACTCAAAAGTTAGGTCCAGCTCTGTGAGCTGAATGCACACATCACAAAGATGTTTCTCAGAAGGTTTCTGTATAGTTTCTATATGAAGATATTTGCTTTTCCACAATATGCCTCAAATCTCCCCAATTATCCACTTGCAGATTCTAGAAAAAGAGTGTTTCAAAACAGCTCAATCAAAATAAACTTTCAACTCTGTGAGATCAATGCACACATCACAAAGAAGTTTCTCAGAATGCTTCTGTGTAGTTTTTTTTGTGAAGATATTTGATTTTCCACAGCAGGCTTCCAAGCACTCCAAATATCCACTCGCAGATTCTGCAAAAAGAGAGATTCAAATCTGCTGAATCAAAAGATAGGTTTAACTCTGTGACTTCAATGCACACCTCACAAGGGTGTTTCTCAGAAAGCTTCTGTGTAGTTTTTATATGAGGGTATCTCCTTCTCCAAAGCAGGTCTCAAAGCCCTCCAAATATTCACTTCAAGATTCTACGGAAAGATTGTCTCAACACTGCTAAATCTAAACAAATGTTCAACTCTGTGTGATGAATGCACTCATCACAGAGAAGTTTCTCTGAATGCCTCTGTGTAGTTTTTATTTGAAGATATTTGCTTTTCCAGTATAGGGCGAAATAGGGCTCCAAATATTCACTTGCAGATTCTACAAAAGGAGAGATTCCAAACTGCTCAATCAAAACATAGGTTCAACACTGTGAGTTGAATGCACACATCACAAAGAAGTTTCACAGAGTGCTTCTGGGTAGTTTTTATTTGAGGATATTTCCCTTTCCACAATAGGCCTCAAAGCTTTCCAAATATCCACTTGCAGATTCTGCAAAAACAGAGATACAAAACTGCTCTATCAAAAGATAGATTCGACTCTGTGAGTTGAATGCCAACATCGCAAAGAAGTTTCTCAGAATGCTTCTCTGCAGCTTTTTTGTGAGTATGTTTCGTTTTCCACCATAGGGCGAAATGGGGCTCCAAATATCCACTTGCATTTCCTACAAAAAGAGAGATTCTAAGCTGCTCAATCAAAACATTGTTTCAACACGGTTAGTTGAATGCACACATCCCAAAGACGTTTTTCAGAGTGCTTCTGTGTGGTTTTTATGTGAAGATACTTCCTTTTCCACAATAGGCCTCAAATCTCTGTAAATATCCACTTGCAGACTCCACAAAGAGTGTTTCCAAACTGCTCAATCATAAGATAGGTTCAACTCCGATAGTTGAATGCACACATCACAAAGAAGTTTCTCAGAAAGCTTCTGTGTAGTTTTTGATGAAGATATCTTCTTCTCTAAAACAGAACTCCAAGCCCTCCAAATATTCACTTCAAGATTCTACGGAAAGATTGTCTCAAAACTCCTAAATCAAAACAAAGTTTCAACTCTGTGTCATGAATGCATTCATCTCAAAGAAGTTTCTCTGAATGCTTCTGTGCAGTTTTTATTTGAAGATAATTGCTTTTCCAGTATAGGGCGAAATAGGGCTCCAAATATTCACTTGCAGATTCTACAGAAAGAGAGATTCCAAACTGCTCAATCAAAACATAGGTTCAACACTGTGAGTTGAATGCATACATCGCAAAGAAGTTTCACAGAGTACTTCTGGGTGGTTTTTATTTGAAGATATTTCCCTTTCCACAATAGGCCTCAAAGCTTTCCAAATGTCCACTTGCAGATTCCACCAAAAGAGTGTTTCGAAACTGCTCAATCAAAAGAAAGGTTCTACTCTGTGGGATGAATGCACACATCACAAAGTAGTTTCTCAGAATGCTTCTGTGTAGTTTTTATGTGAAGATATTTGTTTTTCCACAGTAGGCCCCAAAGAGCTCCAAATATTCACTTGCAGATTCTACAAAAAGAGTGTTCCAAAACTGCTCCATCATGAAATAGGATCAACCCTGTGAGATGAATGTACGTATGACAGAGAAGTTTCTCAGAATGCTTCTGTGTAGTTTTTATGCGAAGATATTCGACTTTCCACAGTACGCCTCAAAGTTCTCCAATTATCCACTCGTAGATCCCGCAAAAAGAGAGATTCAAAACTGCTCAATCAAAAGATAGTTTCTACTCCATTAGCTGAAAGACCACATCACAAAAAAAGTTTCTCAGGATGCTTCTGTGTAGTTTTTATGTGAAGATATTTGGTTTTCCACAGTAGGCCTCAAAGCGCTCCAAATATCCACTCACAGATTCTGCAAAAAGAGAGATTCAAAACTGCTGAATCAAAAGACAGTTTCAACTCTGTGACTTCAGTGCACACCTCACAAGGATGTTTCTCAGAATGCTTCTGTGTAGTTTTTATATAAAGATATCTCCTTCTCCAAAATGGATCTCAAAGTTCTCCAAATATTCACTTCCAGATTCTATGGAAAGATTGTCTCAAAACTGCTCAATCAAACCAAAGGTTCAACTCTGTGAGATGAATGCCCACATCACAAAGAAGTTTCTCAGAGTACTTCTGTGTAGTTTCTATTTGAGGATAGTTCCTTTTCCACCACAGACCAGAAAGGGCTCCAAATATCCATTGCAGATGGTACAAAAAGTGAGATTCAAAACTGCTCAATCCAAAGGTAGTTTCAACCATGTGATATGAATGCACACAGCACAGAGAATTTTCTCAAAATGCGTCTGTCTACTTTTTATTTGAAGATATTTCCTTTTCTACCATAGGCCACAAACGTCTCCAAATATCCACATGCAGCTTCTACAAAAAGAGAGATTCAAAACTTCTCAATCAAAAGATAGGTTCAACTCTGTGAGTTGAAAGCACACCTCACAAAGCAGTTTCTCAGAGTGCTTCTGTGTGTTTTTATGTGAAGATATTTCCTTTTCCACAATAGGCCTCAAAGCTCTCCAAATATCTGCGAGCAGAGTCTACAAAATGAGAGATTCAAAACTGCTCAATGAAAAGATAGGTTCAACTCTGTGAGTTGAATGCACACCTCCAAAGAAGTTTCTCAGAATGCTTCCGTGCAGTTTTTATGTGAAGGTATTTACTTTTCCACAGTTGTCCCAAAGCTCTAAAATGTCCACTTGCAGACCCTCCAAAAGAGTGTTTCAGAATTGCTCAATCAAAGGGAAGGTTCAATTCTGTGTGACCAATGCACTCATCACAAAGAAGTTTGTCTGAATGCTTCTGTGTAGAATTGATTTGAAGATAATTCCTTTTCCACCACAGTCCGCAAAGGGCTAAAAATATCCACTTGCCGATTCCACAAAAAGAGAGATTCAAAACTGCTCAATCACAAGATAGGTTCAACTTGGTAATTGGAAAGCACACATGACAAACAATTTCTGAGAATGTTTCTGTGTAGTTTTTAAGGGAAGATATTTGATTTTCAAATGTAGGCCTCAAATCGCTCCAAATATCCACTTGCATATTGTACAAAAAGAGAGATTCAAAACTGGTCACTCAAAAGTTAGGTCCAGCTCTGTGAGCTGAATGCACACATCACAAAGATGTTTCTCAGAAGGTTTCTGTATAGTTTCTATATGAAGATATTTGCTTTTCCACAATATGCCTCAAATCTCCCCAATTATCCACTTGCAGATTCTAGAAAAAGAGTGTTTCAAAACAGCTCAATCAAAATAAACTTTCAACTCTGTGAGATCAATGCACACATCACAAAGAAGTTTCTCAGAATGCTTCTGTGTAGTTTTTTTTGTGAAGATATTTGATTTTCCACAGCAGGCTTCCAAGCACTCCAAATATCCACTCGCAGATTCTGCAAAAAGAGAGATTCAAATCTGCTGAATCAAAAGATAGGTTTAACTCTGTGACTTCAATGCACACCTCACAAGGGTGTTTCTCAGAAAGCTTCTGTGTAGTTTTTATATGAAGATATCTCTTCTCCAAAGCAGGTCTCAAAGCCCTCCAAATATTCACTTCAAGATTCTACGGAAAGATTGTCTCAACACTGCTAAATCTAAACAAATGTTCAACTCTGTGTGATGAATGCACTCATCACAGAGAAGTTTCTCTGAATGCCTCTGTGTAGTTTTTATTTGAAGATATTTGCTTTTCCAGTATAGGGCGAAATAGGGCTCCAAATATTCACTTGCAGATTCTACAAAAGGAGAGATTCCAAACTGCTCAATCAAAACATAGGTTCAACACTGTGAGTTGAATGCACACATCACAAAGAAGTTTCACAGAGTGCTTCTGGGTAGTTTTTATTTGAGGATATTTCCCTTTCCACAATAGGCCTCAAAGCTTTCCAAATATCCACTTGCAGATTCTGCAAAAAGAGAGATACAAAACTGCTCTATCAAAAGATAGATTCGACTCTGTGAGTTGAATGCCAACATCGCAAAGAAGTTTCTCAGAATGCTTCTCTGCAGCTTTTTTGTGAGTATGTTTCGTTTTCCACCATAGGGCGAAATGGGGCTCCAAATATCCACTTGCATTTCCTACAAAAAGAGAGATTCTAAGCTGCTCAATCAAAACATTGTTTCAACACGGTTAGTTGAATGCACACATCCCAAAGATGTTTTTCAGAGTGCTTCTGTGTGGTTTTTATGTGAAGATACTTCCTTTTCCACAATAGGCCTCAAATCTCTGTAAATATCCACTTGCAGACTCTACAAAGAGTGTTTCCAAACCCCTCAATCATAAGATAGGTTCAACTCCGATAGTTGAATGCACACATCACAAAGAAGTTTCTCAGAAAGCTTCTGTGTAGTTTTTGATGAAGATATCTCCTTCTCTAAAACAGAACTCCAAGCCCTCCAAATATTCACTTCAAGATTCTACGGAAAGATTGTCTCAAAACTCCTAAATCAAAACAAAGTTTCAACTCTGTGTCATGAATGCATTCATCTCAAAGAAGTTTCTCTGAATGCTTCTGTGCAGTTTTTATTTGAAGATAATTGCTTTTCCAGTATAGGGCGAAATAGGGCTCCAAATATTCACTTGCAGATTCTACAGAAAGAGAGATTCCAAACTGCTCAATCAAAACATAGGTTCAACACTGTGAGTTGAATGCATACATCGCAAAGAAGTTTCACAGAGTACTTCTGGGTGGTTTTTATTTGAAGATATTTCCCTTTCCACAATAGGCCTCAAAGCTTTCCAAATGTCCACTTGCAGATTCCACCAAAAGAGTGTTTCGAAACTGCTCAATCAAAAGAAAGGTTCTACTCTGTGGGATGAATGCACACATCACAAAGTAGTTTCTCAGAATGCTTCTGTGTAGTTTTTATGTGAAGATATTTGTTTTTCCACAGTAGGCCCCAAGGAGCTCCAAATATTCACTTGCAGATTCTACAAAAAGAGTGTTCCAAAACTGCTCAATCATGAAATAGGATCAACCCTGTGAGATGAATGTACGTATGACAGAGAAGTTTCTCAGAATGCTTCTGTGTAGTTTTTATGCGAAGATATTCGATTTTCCACAGTACGCCTCAAAGTTCTCCAATTATCCACTCGTAGATTCTGCAAAAAGAGAGATTCAAAACTGCTCAATCAAAAGATAGTTTCTACTCCATTAGCTGAAAGACCACATCACAAAAAAAGTTTCTCAGGATGCTTCTGTGTAGTTTTTATGTGAAGATATTTGGTTTTCCACAGTAGGCCTCAAAGCGCTCCAAATATCCACTCACAGATTCTGCAAAAAGAGAGATTCAAAACTGCTGAATCAAAAGACAGTTTCAACTCTGTGACTTCAGTGCACACCTCACAAGGATGTTTCTCAGAATGCTTCTGTGTAGTTTTTATATAAAGATATCTCCTTCTCCAAAATGGATCTCAAAGTTCTCCAAATATTCACTTCCAGATTCTATGGAAAGATTGTCTCAAAACTGCTCAATCAAACCAAAGGTTCAACTCTGTGAGATGAATGCCCACATCACAAAGAAGTTTCTCAGAGTACTTCTGTGTAGTTTCTATTTGAGGATAGTTCCTTTTCCACCACAGACCAGAAAGGGCTCCAAATATCCATTGCAGATGGTACAAAAAGTGAGATTCAAAACTGCTCAATCCAAAGGTAGTTTCAACCATGTGATATGAATGCACACAGCACAGAGAATTTTCTCAAAATGCGTCTGTCTAGTTTTTATTTGAAGATATTTCCTTTTCTACCATAGGCCACAAACGTCTCCAAATATCCACATGCAGCTTCTACAAAAAGAGAGATTCAAAACTTCTCAATCAAAAGATAGGTTCAACTCTGTGAGTTGAAAGCACACCTCACAGAGAAGTTTCTCAGAGTGCTTCTGTGTGTTTTTATGTGAAGATATTTCCTTTTCCACAATAGGCCTCAAAGCTCTCCAAATATCTGCGAGCAGAGTCTACAAAATGAGAGATTCAAAACTGCTCAATGAAAAGATAGGTTCAACTCTGTGAGTTGAATGCACACCTCCAAAGAAGTTTCTCAGAATGCTTCCGTGTAGTTTTTATGTGAAGATATTTACTTTTCCACAGTTGTCCCAAAGCTCTAAAATGTCCACTTGCAGACCCTCCAAAAGAGTGTTTCAGAATTGCTCAATCAAAGGGAAGGTTCAATTCTGTGTGACCAATGCACTCATCACAAAGAAGTTTGTCTGAATGCTTCTGTGTAGAATTGATTTGAAGATAATTCCTTTTCCACCACAGTCCGCAAAGGGCTAAAAATATCCACTTGCCGATTCCACAAAAAGAGAGATTCAAAACTGCTCAATCACAAGATAGGTTCAACTTGGTAATTGGAAAGCACACATGACAAACAATTTCTGAGAATGTTTCTGTGTAGTTTTTAAAGGAAGATATTTGATTTTCAAATGTAGGCCTCAAATCGCTCCAAATATCCACTTGCATATTGTACAAAAAGAGAGATTCAAAACTGGTCACTCAAAAGTTAGGTCCAGCTCTGTGAGCTGAATGCACACATCACAAAGATGTTTCTCAGAAGGTTTCTGTATAGTTTCTATATGAAGATATTGGCTTTTCCACAATATGCCTCAAATCTCCCCAATTATCCACTTGCAGATTCTAGAAAAAGAGTGTTTCAAAACAGCTCAATCAAAATAAACTTTCAACTCTGTGAGATCAATGCACACATCACAAAGAAGTTTCTCAGAATGCTTCTGTGTAGTTTTTTTTGTGAAGATATTTGATTTTCCACAGCAGGCTTCCAAGCACTCCAAATATCCACTCGCAGATTCTGCAAAAAGAGAGATTCAAATCTGCTGAATCAAAAGATAGGTTTAACTCTGTGACTTCAATGCACACCTCACAAGGGTGTTTCTCAGAAAGCTTCTGTGTAGTTTTTATATGAAGATATCTCCTTCTCCAAAGCAGGTCTCAAAGCCCTCCAAATATTCACTTCAAGATTCTACGGAAAGATTGTCTCAACACTGCTAAATCTAAACAAATGTTCAACTCTGTGTGATGAATGCACTCATCACAGAGAAGTTTCTCTGAATGCCTCTGTGTAGTTTTTATTTGAAGATATTTGCTTTTCCAGTATAGGGCGAAATAGGGCTCCAAATATTCACTTGCAGATTCTACAAAAGGAGAGATTCCAAACTGCTCAATCAAAACATAGGTTCAACACTGTGAGTTGAATGCACACATCACAAAGAAGTTTCACAGAGTGCTTCTGGGTAGTTTTTATTTGAGGATATTTCCCTTTCCACAATAGGCCTCAAAGCTTTCCAAATATCCACTTGCAGATTCTGCAAAAAGAGAGATACAAAACTGCTCTATCAAAAGATAGATTCGACTCTGTGAGTTGAATGCCAACATCGCAAAGAAGTTTCTCAGAATGCTTCTCTGCAGCTTTTTTGAGAGTACGTTTCGTTTTCCACCATAGGGCGAAATGGGGCTCCAAATATCCACTTGCATTTCCTACAAAAAGAGAGATTCTAAGCTGCTCAATCAAAACATTGTTTCAACACGGTTAGTGGAATGCACACATCCCAAAGATGTTTTTCAGAGTGCTTCTGTGTGGTTTTTATGTGAAGATACTTCCTTTTCCACAATAGGCCTCAAATCTCTGTAAATATCCACTTGCAGACTCTACAAAGAGTGTTTCCAAACTCCTCAATCATAAGATAGGTTCAACTCCGATAGTTGAATGCACACATCACAAAGAAGTTTCTCAGAAAGCTTTCTGTGTAGTTTTTGATGAAGATATCTCCTTCTCTAAAACAGAACTCCAAGCCCTCCAAATATTCACTTCAAGATTCTACGGAAAGATTGTCTCAAAACTCCTAAATCAAAACAAAGTTTCAACTCTGTGTCATGAATGCATTCATCTCAAAGAAGTTTCTCTGAATGCTTCTGTGCAGTTGTTATTTGAAGATAATTGCTTTTCCAGTATAGGGCGAAATAGGGCTCCAAATATTCACTTGCAGATTCTACAGAAAGAGAGATTCCAAACTGCTCAATCAAAACATAGGTTCAACACTGTGAGTTGAATGCATACATCGCAAAGAAGTTTCACAGAGTACTTCTGGGTGGTTTTTATTTGAAGATATTTCCCTTTCCACAATAGGCCTCAAAGCTTTCCAAATGTCCACTTGCAGATTCCACCAAAAGAGTGTTTCGAAACTGCTCAATCAAAAGAAAGGTTCTACTCTGTGGGATGAATGCACACATCACAAAGTAGTTTCTCAGAATGCTTCTGTGTAGTTTTTATGTGAAGATATTTGTTTTTCCACAGTAGGCCCCAAGGAGCTCCAAATATTCACTTGCAGATTCTACAAAAAGAGTGTTCCAAAACTGCTCAATCATGAAATAGGATCAACCCTGTGAGATGAATGTACGTATGACAGAGAAGTTTCTCAGAATGCTTCTGTGTAGTTTTTATGCGAAGATATTCGATTTTCCACAGTACGCCTCAAAGTTCTCCAATTATCCACTCGTAGATTCTGCAAAAAGAGAGATTCAAAACTGCTCAATCAAAAGATAGTTTCTACTCCATTAGCTGAAAGACCACATCACAAAAAAAGTTTCTCAGGATGCTTCTGTGTAGTTTTTATGTGAAGATATTTGGTTTTCCACAGTAGGCCTCAAAGCGCTCCAAATATCCACTCCCAGATTCTGCAAAAAGAGAGATTCAAAACTGCTGAATCAAAAGACAGTTTCAACTCTGTGACTTCAGTGCACACCTCACAAGGATGTTTCTCAGAATGCTTCTGTGTAGTTTTTATATAAAGATATCTCCTTCTCCAAAATGGATCTCAAAGTTCTCCAAATATTCACTTCCAGATTCTATGGAAAGATTGTCTCAAAACTGCTCAATCAAACCAAAGGTTCAACTCTGTGAGATGAATGCCCACATCACAAAGAAGTTTCTCAGAGTACTTCTGTGTAGTTTCTATTTGAGGATAGTTCCTTTTCCACCACAGACCAGAAAGGGCTCCAAATATCCATTGCAGATGGTACAAAAAGTGAGATTCAAAACTGCTCAATCCAAAGGTAATTTCAACCATGTGATATGAATGCACACAGCACAGAGAATTTTCTCAAAATGCGTCTGTCTAGTTTTTATTTGAAGATATTTCCTTTTCTACCATAGGCCACAAACGTCTCCAAATATCCACATGCAGCTTCTACAAAAAGAGAGATTCAAAACTTCTCAATCAAAAGATAGGTTCAACTCTGTGAGTTGAAAGCACACCTCACAGAGAAGTTTCTCAGAGTGCTTCTGTGTGTTTTTATGTGAAGATATTTCCTTTTCCACAATAGGCCTCAAAGCTCTCCAAATATCTGCGAGCAGAGTCTACAAAATGAGAGATTCAAAACTGCTCAATGAAAAGATAGGTTCAACTCTGTGAGTTGAATGCACACCTCCAAAGAAGTTTCTCAGAATGCTTCCGTGTAGTTTTTATGTGAAGATATTTACTTTTCCACAGTTGTCCCAAAGCTCTAAAATGTCCACTTGCAGACCCTCCAAAAGAGTGTTTCAGAATTGCTCAATCAAAGGGAAGGTTCAATTCTGTGTGACCAATGCACTCATCACAAAGAAGTTTGTCTGAATGCTTCTGTGTAGAATTGATTTGAAGATAATTCCTTTTCCACCACAGTCCGCAAAGGGCTAAAAATATCCACTTGCCGATTCCACAAAAAGAGAGATTCAAAACTGCTCAATCACAAGATAGGTTCAACTTGGTAATTGGAAAGCACACATGACAAACAATTTCTGAGAATGTTTCTGTGTAGTTTTTAAGGGAAGATATTTGATTTTCAAATGTAGGCCTCAAATCGCTCCAAATATCCACTTGCATATTGTACAAAAAGAGAGATTCAAAACTGGTCACTCAAAAGTTAGGTCCAGCTCTGTGAGCTGAATGCACACATCACAAAGATGTTTCTCAGAAGGTTTCTGTATAGTTTCTATATGAAGATATTGGCTTTTCCACAATATGCCTCAAATCTCCCCAATTATCCACTTGCAGATTCTAGAAAAAGAGTGTTTCAAAACAGCTCAATCAAAATAAACTTTCAACTCTGTGAGATCAATGCACACATCACAAAGAAGTTTCTCAGAATGCTTCTGTGTAGTTTTTTTTGTGAAGAATTTGATTTTCCACAGCAGGCTTCCAAGCACTCCAAATATCCACTCGCAGATTCTGCAAAAAGAGAGATTCAAATCTGCTGAATCAAAAGATAGGTTTAACTCTGTGACTTCAATGCACACCTCACAAGGGTGTTTCTCAGAAAGCTTCTGTGTAGTTTTTATATGAAGATATCTCCTTCTCCAAAGCAGGTCTCAAAGCCCTCCAAATATTCACTTCAAGATTCTACGGAAAGATTGTCTCAACACTGCTAAATCTAAACAAATGTTCAACTCTGTGTGATGAATGCACTCATCACAGAGAAGTTTCTCTGAATGCCTCTGTGTAGTTTTTATTTGAAGATATTTGCTTTTCCAGTATAGGGCGAAATAGGGCTCCAAATATTCACTTGCAGATTCTACAAAAGGAGAGATTCCAAACTGCTCAATCAAAACATAGGTTCAACACTGTGAGTTGAATGCACACATCACAAAGAAGTTTCACAGAGTGCTTCTGGGTAGTTTTTATTTGAGGATATTTCCCTTTCCACAATAGGCCTCAAAGCTTTCCAAATATCCACTTGCAGATTCTGCAAAAAGAGAGATACAAAACTGCTCTATCAAAAGATAGATTCGACTCTGTGAGTTGAATGCCAACATCGCAAAGAAGTTTCTCAGAATGCTTCTCTGCAGCTTTTTTGTGAGTATGTTTCGTTTTCCACCATAGGGCGAAATGGGGCTCCAAATATCCACTTGCATTTCCTACAAAAAGAGAGATTCTAAGCTGCTCAATCAAAACATTGTTTCAACACGGTTAGTTGAATGCACACATCCCAAAGATGTTTTTCAGAGTGCTTCTCTGTGTGGTTTTTATGTGAAGATACTTCCTTTTCCACAATAGGCCTCAAATCTCTGTAAATATCCACTTGCAGACTCTACAAAGAGTGTTTCCAAACTCCTCAATCATAAGATAGGTTCAACTCCGATAGTTGAATGCACACATCACAAAGAAGTTTCTCAGAAAGCTTCTGTGTAGTTTTTGATGAAGATATCTTCTTCTCTAAAACAGAACTCCAAGCCCTCCAAATATTCACTTCAAGATTCTACGGAAAGATTGTCTCAAACTGCTAAATCAAAACAAAGGTTCAACTCTGTGTGATGAATGCATTCATCACAAAGAAGTTTCTCTGAGTGCTTCTGTGCAGTTTTTATTTGAAGATAATTGCTTTTCCAGTATAGGGCGAAATAGGGCTCCAAATATTCACTTGCAGATTCTACAGAAAGAGAGATTCCAAACTGCTCAATCAAAACATAGGTTCAACACTGTGAGTTGAATGCATACATCGCAAAGAAGTTTCACAGAGTACTTCTGGGTGGTTTTTATTTGAAGATATTTCCCTTTCCACAATAGGCCTCAAAGCTTTCCAAATGTCCACTTGCAGATTCCACCAAAAGAGTGTTTCGAAACTGCTCAATCAAAAGAAAGGTTCTACTCTGTGGGATGAATGCACACATCACAAAGTAGTTTCTCAGAATGCTTCTGTGTAGTTTTTATGTGAAGATATTTGTTTTTCCACAGTAGGCCCCAAAGAGCTCCAAATATTCACTTGCAGATTCTACAAAAAGAGTGTTCCAAAACTGCTCAATCATGAAATAGGATCAACCCTGTGAGATGAATGTACGTATGACAGAGAAGTTTCTCAGAATGCTTCTGTGTACTTTTTATGCGAAGATATTCGATTTTCCACAGTACGCCTCAAAGTTCTCCAATTATCCACTCGTAGATTCTGCAAAAAGAGAGATTCAAAACTGCTCAATCAAAAGATAGTTTCTACTCCATTAGCTGAAAGACCACATCACAAAAAAAGTTTCTCAGGATGCTTCTGTGTAGTTTTTATGTGAAGATATTTGGTTTTCCACAGTAGGCCTCAAAGCGCTCCAAATATCCACTCACAGATTCTGCAAAAAGAGAGATTCAAAACTGCTGAATCAAAAGACAGTTTCAACTCTGTGACTTCAGTGCACACCTCACAAGGATGTTTCTCAGAATGCTTCTGTGTAGTTTTCATATAAAGATATCTCCTTCTCCAAAATGGATCTCAAAGTTCTCCAAATATTCACTTCCAGATTCTATGGAAAGATTGTCTCAAAACTGCTCAATCAAACCAAAGGTTCAACTCTGTGAGATGAATGCCCACATCACAAAGAAGTTTCTCAGAGTACTTTCTGTGTAGTTTCTATTTGAGGATAGTTCCTTTTCCACCACAGACCAGAAAGGGCTCCAAATATCCATTGCAGATGGTACAAAATGTGAGATTCAAAACTGCTCAATCCAAAGGTAGTTTCAACCCTGTGATATGAATGCACACAGCACAGAGAATTTTCTCAAAATGCGTCTGTCTAGTTTTTATTTGAAGATATTTCCTTTTCTACCATAGGCCACAAACGTCTCCAAATATCCACATGCAGCTTCTACAAAAAGAGAGATTCAAAACTTCTCAATCAAAAGATAGGTTCAACTCTGTGAGTTGAAAGCACACCTCACAAAGAAGTTTCTCAGAGTGCTTCTGTGTGTTTTTATGTGAAGATATTTCCTTTTCCACAATAGGCCTCAAAGCTCTCCAAATATCTGCGAGCAGAGTCTACAAAATGAGAGATTCAAAACTGCTCAATGAAAAGATAGGTTCAACTCTGTGAGTTGAATGCACACCTCCAAAGAAGTTTCTCAGAATGCTTCCGTGTAGTTTTTATGTGAAGATATTTACTTTTCCACAGCTGTCCCAAAGCTCTAAAATATCCACTTGCAGACCCTCCAAAAGAGTGTTTCAGAATTGCTCAATCAAAGGGAAGGTTCAATTCTGTGTGACCAATGCACTCATCACAAAGAAGTTTGTCTGAATGCTTCTGTGTAGAATTGATTTGAAGATAATTCCTTTTCCACCACAGTCCGCAAAGGGCTAAAAATATCCACTTGCCGATTCCACAAAAAGAGAGATTCAAAACTGCTCAATCACAAGATAGGTTCAACTTGGTAATTGGAAAGCACACATGACAAACAATTTCTGAGAATGTTTCTGTGTAGTTTTTAAGGGAAGATATTTGATTTTCAAATGTAGGCCTCAAATCGCTCCAAATATCCACTTGCATATTGTACAAAAAGAGAGATTCAAAACTGGTCACTCAAAAGTTAGGTCCAGCTCTGTGAGCTGAATGCACACATCACAAAGATGTTTCTCAGAAGGTTTCTGTATAGTTTTTATATGAAGATATTGGCTTTTCCACAATATGCCTCAAATCTCCCCAATTATCCACTTGCAGATTCTAGAAAAAGAGTGTTTCAAAACAGCTCAATCAAAATAAACTTTCAACTCTGTGAGATCAATGCACACATCACAAAGAAGTTTCTCAGAATGCTTCTGTGTAGTTTTTTTTGTGAAGATATTTGATTTTCCACAGCAGGCTTCCAAGCACTCCAAATATCCACTCGCAGATTCTGCAAAAAGAGAGATTCAAATCTGCTGAATCAAAAGATAGGTTTAACTCTGTGACTTCAATGCACACCTCACAAGGGTGTTTCTCAGAAAGCTTCTGTGTAGTTTTTATATGAAGATATCTCCTTCTCCAAAGCAGGTCTCAAAGCCCTCCAAATATTCACTTCAAGATTCTACGGAAAGATTGTCTCAACACTGCTAAATCTAAACAAATATTCAACTCTGTGTGATGAATGCACTCATCACAGAGAAGTTTCTCTGAATGCCTCTGTGTAGTTTTTATTTGAAGATATTTGCTTTTCCAGTATAGGGCGAAATAGGGCTCCAAATATTCACTTGCAGATTCTACAAAAGGAGAGATTCCAAACTGCTCAATCAAAACATAGGTTCAACACTGTGAGTTGAATGCACACATCACAAAGAAGTTTCACAGAGTGCTTCTGGGTAGTTTTTATTTGAGGATATTTCCCTTTCCACAATAGGCCTCAAAGCTTTCCAAATATCCACTTGCAGATTCTGCAAAAAGAGAGATACAAAACTGCTCTATCAAAAGATAGATTCGACTCTGTGAGTTGAATGCCAACATCGCAAAGAAGTTTCTCAGAATGCTTCTCTGCAGCTTTTTTGTGAGTATGTTTCGTTTTCCACCATAGGGCGAAATGGGGCTCCAAATATCCACTTGCATTTCCTACAAAAAGAGAGATTCTAAGCTGCTCAATCAAAACATTGTTTCAACACGGTTAGTTGAATGCACACATCCCAAAGATGTTTTTCAGAGTGCTTTCTGTGTGGTTTTTATGTGAAGATACTTCCTTTTCCACAATAGGCCTCAAATCTCTGTAAATATCCACTTGCAGACTCTACAAAGAGTGTTTCCAAACTGCTCAATCATAAGATAGGTTCAACTCCGATAGTTGAATGCACACATCACAAAGAAGTTTCTCAGAAAGCTTCTGTGTAGTTTTTGATGAAGATATCTTCTTCTCTAAAACAGAACTCCAAGCCCTCCAAATATTCACTTCAAGATTCTACGGAAAGATTGTCTCAAAACTCCTAAATCAAAACAAAGTTTCAACTCTGTGTCATGAATGCATTCATCTCAAAGAAGTTTCTCTGAATGCTTCTGTGCAGTTTTTATTTGAAGATAATTGCTTTTCCAGTATAGGGCGAAATAGGGCTCCAAATATTCACTTGCAGATTCTACAGAAAGAGAGATTCCAAACTGCTCAATCAAAACATAGGTTCAACACTGTGAGTTGAATGCATACATCGCAAAGAAGTTTCACAGAGTACTTCTGGGTGGTTTTTATTTGAAGATATTTCCCTTTCCACAATAGGCCTCAAAGCTTTCCAAATGTCCACTTGCAGATTCCACCAAAAGCGTGTTTCGAAACTGCTCAATCAAAAGAAAGGTTCTACTCTGTGGGATGAATGCACACATCACAAAGTAGTTTCTCAGAATGCTTCTGTGTAGTTTTTATGTGAAGATATTTGTTTTTCCACAGTAGGCCCCAAAGAGCTCCAAATATTCACTTGCAGATTCTACAAAAAGAGTGTTCCAAAACTGCTCAATCATGAAATAGGATCAACCCTGTGAGATGAATGTACGTATGACAGAGAAGTTTCTCAGAATGCTTCTGTGTAGTTTTTATGCGAAGATATTCGATTTTCCACAGTACGCCTCAAAGTTCTCCAATTATCCACTCGTAGATCCTGCAAAAAGAGAGACTCAAAACTGCTCAATCAAAAGATAGTTTCTACTCCATTAGCTGAAAGACCACATCACAAAAAAAGTTTCTCAGGATGCTTTCTGTGTAGTTTTTATGTGAAGATATTTGGTTTTCCACAGTAGGCCTCAAAGCGCTCCAAATATCCACTCACAGATTCTGCAAAAAGAGAGATTCAAAACTGCTGAATCAAAAGACAGTTTCAACTCTGTGACTTCAGTGCACACCTCACAAGGATGTTTCTCAGAATGCTTCTGTGTAGTTTTCATATAAAGATATCTCCTTCTCCAAAATGGATCTCAAAGTTCTCCAAATATTCACTTCCAGATTCTATGGAAAGATTGTCTCAAAACTGCTCAATCAAACCAAAGGTTCAACTCTGTGAGATGAATGCCCACATCACAAAGAAGTTTCTCAGAGTACTTCTGTGTAGTTTCTATTTGAGGATAGTTCCTTTTCCACCACAGACCAGAAAGGGCTCCAAATATCCATTGCAGATGGTACAAAAAGTGAGATTCAAAACTGCTCAATCCAAAGGTAGTTTCAACCATGTGATATGAATGCACACAGCACAGAGAATTTTCTCAAAATGCGTCTGTCTAGTTTTTATTTGAAGATATTTTCTTTTCTACCATAGGCCACAAACGTCTCCAAATATCCACATGCAGCTTCTACAAAAAGAGAGATTCAAAACTTCTCAATCAAAAGATAGGTTCAACTCTGTGAGTTGAAAGCACACCTCACAAAGAAGTTTCTCAGAGTGCTTCTGTGTGTTTTTATGTGAAGATATTTCCTTTTCCACAATAGGCCTCAAAGCTCTCCAAATATCTGCGAGCAGAGTCTACAAAATGAGAGATTCAAAACTGCTCAATGAAAAGATAGGTTCAACTCTGTGAGTTGAATGCACACCTCCAAAGAAGTTTCTCAGAATGCTTCCGTGTAGTTTTTATGTGAAGATATTTACTTTTCCACAGTTGTCCCAAAGCTCTAAAATATCCACTTGCAGACCCTCCAAAAGAGTGTTTCAGAATTGCTCAATCAAAGGGAAGGTTCAATTCTGTGTGACCAATGCACTCATCACAAAGAAGTTTGTCTGAATGCTTCTGTGTAGAATTGATTTGAAGATAATTCCTTTTCCACCACAGTCCGCAAAGGGCTAAAAATATCCACTTGCCGATTCCACAAAAAGAGAGATTCAAAACTGCTCAATCACAAGATAGGTTCAACTTGGTAATTGGAAAGCACACATGACAAACAATTTCTGAGAATGTTTCTGTGTAGTTTTTAAGGGAAGATATTTGATTTTCAAATGTAGGCCTCAAATCGCTCCAAATATCCACTTGCATATTGTACAAAAAGAGAGATTCAAAACTGGTCACTCAAAAGTTAGGTCCAGCTCTGTGAGCTGAATGCACACATCACAAAGATGTTTCTCAGAAGGTTTCTGTATAGTTTTTATATGAAGATATTGGCTTTTCCACAATATGCCTCAAATCTCCCCAATTATCCACTTGCAGATTCTAGAAAAAGAGTGTTTCAAAACAGCTCAATCAAAATAAACTTTCAACTCTGTGAGATCAATGCACACATCACAAAGAAGTTTCTCAGAATGCTTCTGTGTAGTTTTTTTTGTGAAGATATTTGATTTTCCACAGCAGGCTTCCAAGCACTCCAAATATCCACTCGCAGATTCTGCAAAAAGAGAGATTCAAATCTGCTGAATCAAAAGATAGGTTTAACTCTGTGACTTCAATGCACACCTCACAAGGGTGTTTCTCAGAAAGCTTCTGTGTAGTTTTTATATGAAGATATCTCCTTCTCCAAAGCAGGTCTCAAAGCCCTCCAAATATTCACTTCAAGATTCTACGGAAAGATTGTCTCAACACTGCTAAATCTAAACAAATGTTCAACTCTGTGTGATGAATGCACTCATCACAGAGAAGTTTCTCTGAATGCCTCTGTGTAGTTTTTATTTGAAGATATTTGCTTTTCCAGTATAGGGCGAAATAGGGCTCCAAATATTCACTTGCAGATTCTACAAAAGGAGAGATTCCAAACTGCTCAATCAAAACATAGGTTCAACACTGTGAGTTGAATGCACACATCACAAAGAAGTTTCACAGAGTGCTTCTGGGTAGTTTTTATTTGAGGATATTTCCCTTTCCACAATAGGCCTCAAAGCTTTCCAAATATCCACTTGCAGATTCTGCAAAAAGAGAGATACAAAACTGCTCTATCAAAAGATAGATTCGACTCTGTGAGTTGAATGCCAACATCGCAAAGAAGTTTCTCAGAATGCTTCTCTGCAGCTTTTTTGTGAGTATGTTTCGTTTTCCACCATAGGGCGAAATGGGGCTCCAAATATCCACTTGCATTTCCTACAAAAAGAGAGATTCTAAGCTGCTCAATCAAAACATTGTTTCAACACGGTTAGTTGAATGCACACATCCCAAAGATGTTTTTCAGAGTGCTTCTGTGTGGTTTTTATGTGAAGATACTTCCTTTTCCACAATAGGCCTCAAATCTCTGTAAATATCCACTTGCAGACTCTACAAAGAGTGTTTCCAAACTCCTCAATCATAAGATAGGTTCAACTCCGATAGTTGAATGCACACATCACAAAGAAGTTTCTCAGAAACCTTCTGTGTAGTTTTTGATGAAGATATCTTCTTCTCTAAAACAGAACTCCAAGCCCTCCAAATATTCACTTCAAGATTCTACGGAAAGATTGTCTCAAACTGCTAAATCAAAACAAAGGTTCAACTCTGTGTGATGAATGCATTCATCACAAAGAAGTTTCTCTGAGTGCTTCTGTGCAGTTTTTATTTGAAGATAATTGCTTTTCCACTATAGGGCGAAATAGGGCTCCAAATATTCACTTGCAG
Organism: Homo sapiens; assembly: GCF_000001405.40. Lineage (NCBI taxonomy): Eukaryota > Metazoa > Chordata > Mammalia > Primates > Hominidae > Homo > Homo sapiens. Next base: position 18,088,592 of record NC_000015.10, on the reverse strand, counting down.
ATTCTACAGAAAGAGAGATTCCAAACTGCTCAATCAAAACATAGGTTCAACACTGTGAGTTGAATGCATACATCGCAAAGAAGTTTCACAGAGTACTTCTGGGTGGTTTTTATTTGAAGATATTTCCCTTTCCACAATAGGCCTCAAAGCTTTCCAAATGTCCACTTGCAGATTCCACCAAAAGAGTGTTTCGAAACTGCTCAATCAAAAGAAAGGTTCTACTCTGTGGGATGAATGCACACATCACAAAGTAGTTTCTCAGAATGCTTCTGTGTAGTTTTTATGTGAAGATATTTGTTTTTCCACAGTAGGCCCCGAAGAGCTCCAAATATTCACTTGCAGATTCTACAAAAAGAGTGTTCCAAAACTGCTCAATCATGAAATAGGATCAACCCTGTGAGATGAATGTACGTATGACAGAGAAGTTTCTCAGAATGCTTCTGTGTAGTTTTTATGCGAAGATATTCGATTTTCCACAGTACGCCTCAAAGTTCTCCAATTATCCACTCGTAGATCCTGCAAAAAGAGAGATTCAAAACTGCTCAATCAAAAGATAGTTTCTACTCCATTAGCTGAAAGACCACATCACAAAAAAAGTTTCTCAGGATGCTTCTGTGTAGTTTTTATGTGAAGATATTTGGTTTTCCACAGTAGGCCTCAAAGCGCTCCAAATATCCACTCACAGGTTCTGCAAAAAGAGAGATTCAAAACTGCTGAATCAAAAGACAGTTTCAACTCTGTGACTTCAGTGCACACCTCACAAGGATGTTTCTCAGAATGCTTCTGTGTAGTTTTCATATAAAGATATCTCCTTCTCCAAAATGGATCTCAAAGTTCTCCAAATATTCACTTCCAGATTCTATGGAAAGATTGTCTCAAAACTGCTCAATCAAACCAAAGGTTCAACTCTGTGAGATGAATGCCCACATCACAAAGAAGTTTCTCAGAGTACTTCTGTGTAGTTTCTATTTGAGGATAGTTCCTTTTCCACCACAGACCAGAAAGGGCTCCAAATATCCATTGCAGATGGTACAAAAAGTGAGATTCAAAACTGCTCAATCCAAAGGTAGTTTCAACCATGTGATATGAATGCACACAGCACAGAGAATTTTCTCAAAATGCGTCTGTCTAGTTTTTATTTGAAGATATTTCCTTTTCTACCATAGGCCACAAACGTCTCCAAATATCCACATGCAGCTTCTACAAAAAGAGAGATTCAAAACTTCTCAATCAAAAGATAGGTTCAACTCTGTGAGTTGAAAGCACACCTCACAAAGAAGTTTCTCAGAGTGCTTCTGTGTGTTTTTATGTGAAGATATTTCCTTTTCCACAATAGGCCTCAAAGCTCTCCAAATATCTGCGAGCAGAGTCTACAAAATGAGAGATTCAAAACTGCTCAATGAAAAGATAGGTTCAACTCTGTGAGTTGAATGCACACCTCCAAAGAAGTTTCTCAGAATGCTTCCGTGTAGTTTTTATGTGAAGATATTTACTTTTCCACAGCTGTCCCAAAGCTCTAAAATATCCACTTGCAGACCCTCCAAAAGAGTGTTTCAGAATTGCTCAATCAAAGGGAAGGTTCAATTCTGTGTGACCAATGCACTCATCACAAAGAAGTTTGTCTGAATGCTTCTGTGTAGAATTGATTTGAAGATAATTCCTTTTCCACCACAGTCCGCAAAGGGCTAAAAATATCCACTTGCCGATTCCACAAAAAGAGAGATTCAAAACTGCTCAATCACAAGATAGGTTCAACTTGGTAATTGGAAAGCACACATGACAAACAATTTCTGAGAATGTTTCTGTGTAGTTTTTAAGGGAAGATATTTGATTTTCAAATGTAGGCCTCAAATCGCTCCAAATATCCACTTGCATATTGTACAAAAAGAGAGATTCAAAACTGGTCACTCAAAAGTTAGGTCCAGCTCTGTGAGCTGAATGCACACATCACAAAGATGTTTCTCAGAAGGTTTCTGTATAGTTTCTATATGAAGATATTTGCTTTTCCACAATATGCCTCAAATCTCCCCAATTATCCACTTGCAGATTCTAGAAAAAGAGTGTTTCAAAACAGCTCAATCAAAATAAACTTTCAACTCTGTGAGATCAATGCACACATCACAAAGAAGTTTCTCAGAATGCTTCTGTGTAGTTTTTTTTGTGAAGATATTTGATTTTCCACAGCAGGCTTCCAAGCACTCCAAATATCCACTCGCAGATTCTGCAAAAAGAGAGATTCAAATCTGCTGAATCAAAAGATAGGTTTAACTCTGTGACTTCAATGCACACCTCACAAGGGTGTTTCTCAGAAAGCTTCTGTGTAGTTTTTATATGAAGATATCTCCTTCTCCAAAGCAGGTCTCAAAGCCCTCCAAATATTCACTTCAAGATTCTACGGAAAGATTGTCTCAACACTGCTAAATCTAAACAAATGTTCAACTCTGTGTGATGAATGCACTCATCACAGAGAAGTTTCTCTGAATGCCTCTGTGTAGTTTTTATTTGAAGATATTTGCTTTTCCAGTATAGGGCGAAATAGGGCTCCAAATATTCACTTGCAGATTCTACAAAAGGAGAGATTCCAAACTGCTCAATCAAAACATAGGTTCAACACTGTGAGTTGAATGCACACATCACAAAGAAGTTTCACAGAGTGCTTCTGGGTAGTTTTTATTTGAGGATATTTCCCTTTCCACAATAGGCCTCAAAGCTTTCCAAATATCCACTTGCAGATTCTGCAAAAAGAGAGATACAAAACTGCTCTATCAAAAGATAGATTCGACTCTGTGAGTTGAATGCCAACATCGCAAAGAAGTTTCTCAGAATGCTTCTCTGCAGCTTTTTTGTGAGTATGTTTCGTTTTCCACCATAGGGCGAAATGGGGCTCCAAATATCCACTTGCATTTCCTACAAAAAGAGAGATTCTAAGCTGCTCAATCAAAACATTGTTTCAACACGGTTAGTTGAATGCACACATCCCAAAGGTGTTTTTCAGAGTGCTTCTGTGTGGTTTTTATGTGAAGATACTTCCTTTTCCACAATAGGCCTCAAATCTCTGTAAATATCCACTTGCAGACTCTACAAAGAGTGTTTCCAAACTGCTCAATCATAAGATAGGTTCAACTCCGATAGTTGAATGCACACATCACAAAGAAGTTTCTCAGAAAGATTCTGTGTAGTTTTTGATGAAGATATCTTCTTCTCTAAAACAGAACTCCAAGCCCTCCAAATATTCACTTCAAGATTCTACGGAAAGATTGTCTCAAAACTCCTAAATCAAAACAAAGTTTCAACTCTGTGTCATGAATGCATTCATCTCAAAGAAGTTTCTCTGAATGCTTCTGTGCAGTTTTTATTTGAAGATAATTGCTTTTCCAGTATAGGGCGAAATAGGGCTCCAAATATTCACTTGCAGATTCTACAGAAAGAGAGATTCCAAACTGCTCAATCAAAACATAGGTTCAACACTGTGAGTTGAATGCATACATCGCAAAGAAGTTTCACAGAGTACTTCTGGGTGGTTTTTATTTGAAGATATTTCCCTTTCCACAATAGGCCTCAAAGCTTTCCAAATGTCCACTTGCAGATTCCACCAAAAGAGTGTTTCGAAACTGCTCAATCAAAAGAAAGGTTCTACTCTGTGGGATGAATGCACACATCACAAAGTAGTTTCTCAGAATGCTTCTGTGTAGTTTTTATGTGAAGATATTTGTTTTTCCACAGTAGGCCCCAAGGAGCTCCAAATATTCACTTGCAGATTCTACAAAAAGAGTGTTCCGAAACTGCTCAATCATGAAATAGGATCAACCCTGTGAGATGAATGTACGTATGACAGAGAAGTTTCTCAGAATGCTTCTGTGTAGTTTTTATGCGAAGATATTCGACTTTCCACAGTACGCCTCAAAGTTCTCCAATTATCCACTCGTAGATTCTGCAAAAAGAGAGATTCAAAACTGCTCAATCAAAAGATAGTTTCTACTCCATTAGCTGAAAGACCACATCACAAAAAAAGTTTCTCAGGATGCTTTCTGTGTAGTTTTTATGTGAAGATATTTGGTTTTCCACAGTAGGCCTCAAAGCGCTCCAAATATCCACTCACAGATTCTGCAAAAAGAGAGATTCAAAACTGCTGAATCAAAAGACAGTTTCAACTCTGTGACTTCAGTGCACACCTCACAAGGATGTTTCTCAGAATGCTTCTGTGTAGTTTTCATATAAAGGTATCTCCTTCTCCAAAATGGATCTCAAAGTTCTCCAAATATTCACTTCCAGATTCTATGGAAAGATTGTCTCAAAACTGCTCAATCAAACCAAAGGTTCAACTCTGTGAGATGAATGCCCACATCACAAAGAAGTTTCTCAGAGTACTTCTGTGTAGTTTCTATTTGAGGATAGTTCCTTTTCCACCACAGACCAGAAAGGGCTCCAAATATCCATTGCAGATGGTACAAAAAGTGAGATTCAAAACTGCTCAATCCAAAGGTAGTTTCAACCATGTGATATGAATGCACACAGCACAGAGAATTTTCTCAAAATGCGTCTGTCTAGTTTTTATTTGAAGATATTTCCTTTTCTACCATAGGCCACAAACGTCTCCAAATATCCACATGCAGCTTCTACAAAAAGAGAGATTCAAAACTTCTCAATCAAAAGATAGGTTCAACTCTGTGAGTTGAAAGCACACCTCACAGAGAAGTTTCTCAGAGTGCTTCTGTGTGTTTTTATGTGAAGATATTTCCTTTTCCACAATAGGCCTCAAAGCTCTCCAAATATCTGCGAGCAGAGTCTACAAAATGAGAGATTCAAAACTGCTCAATGAAAAGATAGGTTCAACTCTGTGAGTTGAATGCACACCTCCAAAGAAGTTTCTCAGAATGCTTCCGTGTAGTTTTTATGTGAAGATATTTACTTTTCCACAGTTGTCCCAAAGCTCTAAAATGTCCACTTGCAGACCCTCCAAAAGAGTGTTTCAGAATTGCTCAATCAAAGGGAAGGTTCAATTCTGTGTGACCAATGCACTCATCACAAAGAAGTTTGTCTGAATGCTTCTGTGTAGAATTGATTTGAAGATAATTCCTTTTCCACCACAGTCCGCAAAGGGCTAAAAATATCCACTTGCCGATTCCACAAAAAGAGAGATTCAAAACTGCTCAATCACAAGATAGGTTCAACTTGGTAATTGGAAAGCACACATGACAAACAATTTCTGAGAATGTTTCTGTGTAGTTTTTAAGGGAAGATATTTGATTTTCAAATGTAGGCCTCAAATCGCTCCAAATATCCACTTGCATATTGTACAAAAAGAGAGATTCAAAACTGGTCACTCAAAAGTTAGGTCCAGCTCTGTGAGCTGAATGCACACATCACAAAGATGTTTCTCAGAAGGTTTCTGTATAGTTTCTATATGAAGATATTTGCTTTTCCACAATATGCCTCAAATCTCCCCAATTATCCACTTGCAGATTCTAGAAAAAGAGTGTTTCAAAACAGCTCAATCAAAATAAACTTTCAACTCTGTGAGATCAATGCACACATCACAAAGAAGTTTCTCAGAATGCTTCTGTGTAGTTTTTTTTGTGAAGATATTTGATTTTCCACAGCAGGCTTCCAAGCACTCCAAATATCCACTCGCAGATTCTGCAAAAAGAGAGATTCAAATCTGCTGAATCAAAAGATAGGTTTAACTCTGTGACTTCAATGCACACCTCACAAGGGTGTTTCTCAGAAAGCTTCTGTGTAGTTTTTATATGAAGATATCTCCTTCTCCAAAGCAGGTCTCAAAGCCCTCCAAATATTCACTTCAAGATTCTACGGAAAGATTGTCTCAACACTGCTAAATCTAAACAAATGTTCAACTCTGTGTGATGAATGCACTCATCACAGAGAAGTTTCTCTGAATGCCTCTGTGTAGTTTTTATTTGAAGATATTTGCTTTTCCAGTATAGGGCGAAATAGGGCTCCAAATATTCACTTGCAGATTCTACAAAAGGAGAGATTCCAAACTGCTCAATCAAAACATAGGTTCAACACTGTGAGTTGAATGCACACATCACAAAGAAGTTTCACAGAGTGCTTCTGGGTAGTTTTTATTTGAGGATATTTCCCTTTCCACAATAGGCCTCAAAGCTTTCCAAATATCCACTTGCAGATTCTGCAAAAAGAGAGATACAAAACTGCTCTATCAAAAGATAGATTCGACTACTGTGAGTTGAATGCCAACATCGCAAAGAAGTTTCTCAGAATGCTTCTCTGCAGCTTTTTTGTGAGTATGTTTCGTTTTCCACCATAGGGCGAAATGGGGCTCCAAATATCCACTTGCATTTCCTACAAAAAGAGAGATTCTAAGCTGCTCAATCAAAACATTGTTTCAACACGGTTAGTTGAATGCACACATCCCAAAGATGTTTTTCAGAGTGCTTCTGTGTGGTTTTTATGTGAAGATACTTCCTTTTCCACAATAGGCCTCAAATCTCTGTAAATATCCACTTGCAGACTCTACAAAGAGTGTTTCCAAACTCCTCAATCATAAGATAGGTTCAACTCCGATAGTTGAATGCACACATCACAAAGAAGTTTCTCAGAAAGCTTCTGCGTAGTTTTTGATGAAGATATCTTCTTCTCTAAAACAGAACTCCAAGCCCTCCAAATATTCACTTCAAGATTCTACGGAAAGATTGTCTCAAACTGCTAAATCAAAACAAAGTTTCAACTCTGTGTCATGAATGCATTCATCTCAAAGAAGTTTCTCTGAATGCTTCTGTGCAGTTTTTATTTGAAGATAATTGCTTTTCCAGTATAGGGCGAAATAGGGCTCCAAATATTCACTTGCAGATTCTACAGAAAGAGAGATTCCAAACTGCTCAATCAAAACATAGGTTCAACACTGTGAGTTGAATGCATACATCGCAAAGAAGTTTCACAGAGTACTTCTGGGTGGTTTTTATTTGAAGATATTTCCCTTTCCACAATAGGCCTCAAAGCTTTCCAAATGTCCACTTGCAGATTCCACCAAAAGAGTGTTTCGAAACTGCTCAATCAAAAGAAAGGTTCTACTCTGTGGGATGAATGCACACATCACAAAGTAGTTTCTCAGAATGCTTCTGTGTAGTTTTTATGTGAAGATAGTTGTTTTTCCACAGTAGGCCCCAAAGAGCTCCAAATATTCACTTGCAGATTCTACAAAAAGAGTGTTCCAAAACTGCTCAATCATGAAATAGGATCAACCCTGTGAGATGAATGTACGTATGACAGAGAAGTTTCTCAGAATGCTTCTGTGTAGTTTTTATGCGAAGATATTCGATTTTCCACAGTACGCCTCAAAGTTCTCCAATTATCCACTCGTAGATTCTGCAAAAAGAGAGATTCAAAACTGCTCAATCAAAAGATAGTTTCTACTCCATTAGCTGAAAGACCACATCACAAAAAAAGTTTCTCAGGATGCTTCTGTGTAGTTTTTATGTGAAGATATTTGGTTTTCCACAGTAGGCCTCAAAGCGCTCCAAATATCCACTCACAGATTCTGCAAAAAGAGAGATTCAAAACTGCTGAATCAAAAGACAGTTTCAACTCTGTGACTTCAGTGCACACCTCACAAGGATGTTTCTCAGAATGCTTCTGTGTAGTTTTCATATAAAGATATCTCCTTCTCCAAAATGCATCTCAAAGTTCTCCAAATATTCACTTCCAGATTCTATGGAAAGATTGTCTCAAAACTGCTCAATCAAACCAAAGGTTCAACTCTGTGAGATGAATGCCCACATCACAAAGAAGTTTCTCAGAGTACTTCTGTGTAGTTTCTATTTGAGGATAGTTCCTTTTCCACCACAGACCAGAAAGGGCTCCAAATATCCATTGCAGATGGTACAAAAAGTGAGATTCAAAACTGCTCAATCCAAAGGTAGTTTCAACCATGTGATATGAATGCACACAGCACAGAGAATTTTCTCAAAATGCGTCTGTCTAGTTTTTATTTGAAGATATTTCCTTTTCTACCATAGGCCACAAACGTCTCCAAATATCCACATGCAGCTTCTACAAAAAGAGAGATTCAAAACTTCTCAATCAAAAGATAGGTTCAACTCTGTGAGTTGAAAGCACACCTCACAAAGAAGTTTCTCAGAGTGCTTCTGTGTGTTTTTATGTGAAGATATTTCCTTTTCCACAATAGGCCTCAAAGCTCTCCAAATATCTGCGAGCAGAGTCTACAAAATGAGAGATTCAAAACTGCTCAATGAAAAGATAGGTTCAACTCTGTGAGTTGAATGCACACCTCCAAAGAAGTTTCTCAGAATGCTTCCGTGTAGTTTTTATGTGAAGATATTTACTTTTCCACAGTTGTCCCAAAGCTCTAAAATGTCCACTTGCAGACCCTCCAAAAGAGTGTTTCAGAATTGCTCAATCAAAGGGAAGGTTCAATTCTGTGTGACCAATGCACTCATCACAAAGAAGTTTGTCTGAATGCTTCTGTGTAGAATTGATTTGAAGATAATTCCTTTTCCACCACAGTCCGCAAAGGGCTAAAAATATCCACTTGCCGATTCCACAAAAAGAGAGATTCAAAACTGCTCAATCACAAGATAGGTTCAACTTGGTAATTGGAAAGCACACATGACAAACAATTTCTGAGAATGTTTCTGTGTAGTTTTTAAGGGAAGATATTTGATTTTCAAATGTAGGCCTCAAATCGCTCCAAATATCCACTTGCATATTGTACAAAAAGAGAGATTCAAAACTGGTCACTCAAAAGTTAGGTCCAGCTCTGTGAGCTGAATGCACACATCACAAAGATGTTTCTCAGAAGGTTTCTGTATAGTTTTTATATGAAGATATTGGCTTTTCCACAATATGCCTCAAATCTCCCCAATTATCCACTTGCAGATTCTAGAAAAAGAGTGTTTCAAAACAGCTCAATCAAAATAAACTTTCAACTCTGTGAGATCAATGCACACATCACAAAGAAGTTTCTCAGAATGCTTCTGTGTAGTTTTTTTTGTGAAGATATTTGATTTTCCACAGCAGGCTTCCAAGCACTCCAAATATCCACTCGCAGATTCTGCAAAAAGAGAGATTCAAATCTGCTGAATCAAAAGATAGGTTTAACTCTGTGACTTCAATGCACACCTCACAAGGGTGTTTCTCAGAAAGCTTCTGTGTAGTTTTTATATGAAGATATCTCCTTCTCCAAAGCAGGTCTCAAAGCCCTCCAAATATTCACTTCAAGATTCTACGGAAAGATTGTCTCAACACTGCTAAATCTAAACAAATGTTCAACTCTGTGTGATGAATGCACTCATCACAGAGAAGTTTCTCTGAATGCCTCTGTGTAGTTTTTATTTGAAGATATTTGCTTTTCCAGTATAGGGCGAAATAGGGCTCCAAATATTCACTTGCAGATTCTACAAAAGGAGAGATTCCAAACTGCTCAATCAAAACATAGGTTCAACACTGTGAGTTGAATGCACACATCACAAAGAAGTTTCACAGAGTGCTTCTGGGTAGTTTTTATTTGAGGATATTTCCCTTTCCACAATAGGCCTCAAAGCTTTCCAAATATCCACTTGCAGATTCTGCAAAAAGAGAGATACAAAACTGCTCTATCAAAAGATAGATTCGACTCTGTGAGTTGAATGCCAACATCGCAAAGAAGTTTTTCAGAATGCTTCTCTGCAGCTTTTTTGTGAGTATGTTTCGTTTTCCACCATAGGGCGAAATGGGGCTCCAAATATCCACTTGCATTTCCTACAAAAAGAGAGATTCTAAGCTGCTCAATCAAAACATTGTTTCAACACGGTTAGTTGAATGCACACATCCCAAAGATGTTTTTCAGAGTGCTTCTGTGTGGTTTTTATGTGAAGATACTTCCTTTTCCACAATAGGCCTCAAATCTCTGTAAATATCCACTTGCAGACTCTACAAAGAGTGTTTCCAAACTCCTCAATCATAAGATAGGTTCAACTCCGATAGTTGAATGCACACATCACAAAGAAGTTTCTCGGAAAGCTTCTGTGTAGTTTTTGATGAAGATATCTTCTTCTCTAAAACAGAACTCCAAGCCCTCCAAATATTCACTTCAAGATTCTACGGAAAGATTGTCTCAAACTGCTAAATCAAAACAAAGGTTCAACTCTGTGTGATGAATGCATTCATCACAAAGAAGTTTCTCTGAGTGCTTCTGTGCAGTTTTTATTTGAAGATAATTGCTTTTCCAGTATAGGGCGAAATAGGGCTCCAAATATTCACTTGCAGATTCTACAGAAAGAGAGATTCCAAACTGCTCAATCAAAACATAGGTTCAACACTGTGAGTTGAATGCATACATCGCAAAGAAGTTTCACAGAGTACTTCTGGGTGGTTTTTATTTGAAGATATTTCCCTTTCCACAATAGGCCTCAAAGCTTTCCAAATGTCCACTTGCAGATTCCACCAAAAGAGTGTTTCAAAACTGCTCAATCAAAAGAAAGGTTCTACTCTGTGGGATGAATGCACACATCACAAAGTAGTTTCTCAGAATGCTTCTGTGTAGTTTTTATGTGAAGATATTTGTTTTTCCACAGTAGGCCCCAAAGAGCTCCAAATATTCACTTGCAGATTCTACAAAAAGAGTGTTCCAAAACTGCTCAATCATGAAATAGGATCAACCCTGTGAGATGAATGTACGTATGACAGAGAAGTTTCTCAGAATGCTTCTGTGTAGTTTTTATGCGAAGATATTCGATTTTCCACAGTACGCCTCAAAGTTCTCCAATTATCCACTCGTAGATTCTGCAAAAAGAGAGATTCAAAACTGCTCAATCAAAAGATAGTTTCTACTCCATTAGCTGAAAGACCACATCACAAAAAAAGTTTCTCAGGATGCTTCTGTGTAGTTTTTATGTGAAGATATTTGGTTTTCCACAGTAGGCCTCAAAGCGCTCCAAATATCCACTCACAGATTCTGCAAAAAGAGAGATTCAAAACTGCTGAATCAAAAGACAGTTTCAACTCTGTGACTTCAGTGCACACCTCACAAGGATGTTTCTCAGAATGCTTCTGTGTAGTTTTTATATAAAGATATCTCCTTCTCCAAAATGGATCTCAAAGTTCTCCAAATATTCACTTCCAGATTCTATGGAAAGATTGTCTCAAAACTGCTCAATCAAACCAAAGGTTCAACTCTGTGAGATGAATGCACACATCACAAAGAAGTTTCTCAGAGTAATTCTGTGTAGTTCCTATTTGAGGATAGTTCCTTTTCCACCACAGACCAGAAAGGGCTCCAAATATCCATTGCAGATGGTACAAAAAGTGAGATTCAAAACTGCTCAATCCAAAGGTAGTTTCAACCATGTGATATGAATGCACACAGCACAGAGAATTTTCTCAAAATGCGTCTGTCTAGTTTTTATTTGAAGATATTTCCTTTTCTACCATAGGCCACAAACGTCTCCAAATATCCACATGCAGCTTCTACAAAAAGAGAGATTCAAAACTTCTCAATCAAAAGATAGGTTCAACTCTGTGAGTTGAAAGCACACCTCACAAAGAAGTTTCTCAGAGTGCTTCTGTGTGTTTTTATGTGAAGATATTTCCTTTTCCACAATAGGCCTCAAAGCTCTCCAAATATCTGCGAGCAGAGTCTACAAAATGAGAGATTCAAAACTGCTCAATGAAAAGATAGGTTCAACTCTGTGAGTTGAATGCACACCTCCAAAGAAGTTTCTCAGAATGCTTCCGTGTAGTTTTTATGTGAAGATATTTACTTTTCCACAGTTGTCCCAAAGCTCTAAAATATCCACTTGCAGACCCTCCAAAAGAGTGTTTCATAATTGCTCAATCAAAGGGAAGGTTCAATTCTGTGTGACCAATGCACTCATCACAAAGAAGTTTGTCTGAATGCTTCTGTGTAGAATTGATTTGAAGATAATTCCTTTTCCACCACAGTCCGCAAAGGGCTAAAAATATCCACTTGCCGATTCCACAAAAAGAGAGATTCAAAACTGCTCAATCACAAGATAGGTTCAACTTGGTAATTGGAAAGCACACATGACAAACAATTTCTGAGAATGTTTCTGTGTAGTTTTTAAGGGAAGATATTTGATTTTCAAATGTAGGCCTCAAATCGCTCCAAATATCCACTTGCATATTGTACAAAAAGAGAGATTCAAAACTGGTCACTCAAAAGTTAGGTCCAGCTCTGTGAGCTGAATGCACACATCACAAAGATGTTTCTCAGAAGGTTTCTGTATAGTTTCTATATGAAGATATTTGCTTTTCCACAATATGCCTCAAATCTCCCCAATTATCCACTTGCAGATTCTAGAAAAAGAGTGTTTCAAAACAGCTCAATCAAAATAAACTTTCAACTCTGTGAGATCAATGCACACATCACAAAGAAGTTTCTCAGAATGCTTCTGTGTAGTTTTTTTTGTGAAGATATTTGATTTTCCACAGCAGGCTTCCAAGCACTCCAAATATCCACTCGCAGATTCTGCAAAAAGAGAGATTCAAATCTGCTGAATCAAAAGATAGGTTTAACTCTGTGACTTCAATGCACACCTCACAAGGGTGTTTCTCAGAAAGCTTCTGTGTAGTTTTTATATGAAAGATATCTCCTTCTCCAAAGCAGGTCTCAAAGCCCTCCAAATATTCACTTCAAGATTCTACGGAAAGATTGTCTCAACACTGCTAAATCTAAACAAATGTTCAACTCTGTGTGATGAATGCACTCATCACAGAGAAGTTTCTCTGAATGCCTCTGTGTAGTTTTTATTTGAAGATATTTGCTTTTCCAGTATAGGGCGAAATAGGGCTCCAAATATTCACTTGCAGATTCTACAAAAGGAGAGATTCCAAACTGCTCAATCAAAACATAGGTTCAACACTGTGAGTTGAATGCACACATCACAAAGAAGTTTCACAGAGTGCTTCTGGGTAGTTTTTATTTGAGGATATTTCCCTTTCCACAATAGGCCTCAAAGCTTTCCAAATATCCACTTGCAGATTCTGCAAAAAGAGAGATACAAAACTGCTCTATCAAAAGATAGATTCGACTCTGTGAGTTGAATGCCAACATCGCAAAGAAGTTTCTCAGAATGCTTCTCTGCAGCTTTTTTGTGAGTATGTTTCGTTTTCCACCATAGGGCGAAATGGGGCTCCAAATATCCACTTGCATTTCCTACAAAAAGAGAGATTCTAAGCTGCTCAATCAAAACATTGTTTCAACACGGTTAGTTGAATGCACACATCCCAAAGATGTTTTTCAGAGTGCTTCTGTGTGGTTTTTATGTGAAGATACTTCCTTTTCCACAATAGGCCTCAAATCTCTGTAAATATCCACTTGCAGACTCTACAAAGAGTGTTTCCAAACTCCTCAATCATAAGATAGGTTCAACTCCGATAGTTGAATGCACACATCACAAAGAAGTTTCTCAGAAAGCTTCTGTGTAGTTTTTGATGAAGATATCTTCTTCTCTAAAACAGAACTCCAAGCCCTCCAAATATTCACTTCAAGATTCTACGGAAAGATTGTCTCAAACTGCTAAATCAAAACAAAGGTTCAACTCTGTGTGATGAATGCATTCATCACAAAGAAGTTTCTCTGAGTGCTTCTGTGCAGTTTTTATTTGAAGATAATTGCTTTTCCAGTATAGGGCGAAATAGGGCTCCAAATATTCACTTGCAGATTCTACAGAAAGAGAGATTCCAAACTGCTCAATCAAAACATAGGTTCAACACTGTGAGTTGAATGCATACATCGCAAAGAAGTTTCACAGAGTACTTCTGGGTGGTTTTTATTTGAAGATATTTCCCTTTCCACAATAGGCCTCAAAGCTTTCCAAATGTCCACTTGCAGATTCCACCAAAAGAGTGTTTCGAAACTGCTCAATCAAAAGAAAGTTTCTACTCTGTGGGATGAATGCACACATCACAAAGTAGTTTCTCAGAATGCTTCTGTGTAGTTTTTATGTGAAGATATTTGTTTTTCCACAGTAGGCCCCAAAGAGCTCCAAATATTCACTTGCAGATTCTACAAAAAGAGTGTTCCAAAACTGCTCAATCATGAAATAGGATCAACCCTGTGAGATGAATGTACGTATGACAGAGAAGTTTCTCAGAATGCTTCTGTGTAGTTTTTATGCGAAGATATTCGATTTTCCACAGTACGCCTCAAAGTTCTCCAATTATCCACTCGTAGATTCTGCAAAAAGAGAGATTCAAAACTGCTCAATCAAAAGATAGTTTCTACTCCATTAGCTGAAAGACCACATCACAAAAAAAGTTTCTCAGGATGCTTCTGTGTAGTTTTTATGTGAAGATATTTGGTTTTCCACAGTAGGCCTCAAAGCGCTCCAAATATCCACTCACAGATTCTGCAAAAAGAGAGATTCAAAACTGCTGAATCAAAAGACAGTTTCAACTCTGTGACTTCAGTGCACACCTCACAAGGATGTTTCTCAGAATGCTTCTGTGTAGTTTTCATATAAAGATATCTCCTTCTCCAAAATGGATCTCAAAGTTCTCCAAATATTCACTTCCAGATTCTATGGAAAGATTGTCTCAAAACTGCTCAATCAAACCAAAGGTTCAACTCTGTGAGATGAATGCCCACATCACAAAGAAGTTTCTCAGAGTACTTCTGTGTAGTTTCTATTTGAGGATAGTTCCTTTTCCACCACAGACCAGAAAGGGCTCCAATTATCCATTGCAGATGGTACAAAAAGTGAGATTCAAAACTGCTCAATCCAAAGGTAGTTTCAACCATGTGATATGAATGCACACAGCACAGAGAATTTTCTCAAAATGCGTCTGTCTAGTTTTTATTTGAAGATATTTCCTTTTCTACCATAGGCCACAAACGTCTCCAAATATCCACATGCAGCTTCTACAAAAAGAGAGATTCAAAACTTCTCAATCAAAAGATAGGTTCAACTCTGTGAGTTGAAAGCACACCTCACAAAGAAGTTTCTCAGAGTGCTTCTGTGTGTTTTTATGTGAAGATATTTCCTTTTCCACAATAGGCCTCAAAGCTCTCCAAATATCTGCGAGCAGAGTCTACAAAATGAGAGATTCAAAACTGCTCAATGAAAAGATAGGTTCAACTCTGTGAGTTGAATGCACACCTCCAAAGAAGTTTCTCAGAATGCTTCCGTGTAGTTTTTATGTGAAGATATTTACTTTTCCACAGTTGTCCCAAAGCTCTAAAATGTCCACTTGCAGACCCTCCAAAAGAGTGTTTCAGAATTGCTCAATCAAAGGGAAGGTTCAATTCTGTGTGACCAATGCACTCATCACAAAGAAGTTTGTCTGAATGCTTCTGTGTAGAATTGATTTGAAGATAATTCCTTTTCCACCACAGTCCGCAAAGGGCTAAAAATATCCACTTGCCGATTCCACAAAAAGAGAGATTCAAAACTGCTCAATCACAAGATAGGTTCAACTTGGTAATTGGAAAGCACACATGACAAACAATTTCTGAGAATGTTTCTGTGTAGTTTTTAAGGGAAGATATTTGATTTTCAAATGTAGGCCTCAAATCGCTCCAAATATCCACTTGCATATTGTACAAAAAGAGAGATTCAAAACTGGTCACTCAAAAGTTAGGTCCAGCTCTGTGAGCTGAATGCACACATCACAAAGATGTTTCTCAGAAGGTTTCTGTATAGTTTCTATATGAAGATATTGGCTTTTCCACAATATGCCTCAAATCTCCCCAATTATCCACTTGCAGATTCTAGAAAAAGAGTGTTTCAAAACAGCTCAATCAAAATAAACTTTCAACTCTGTGAGATCAATGCACACATCACAAAGAAGTTTCTCAGAATGCTTCTGTGTAGTTTTTTTGTGAAGATATTTGATTTTCCACAGCAGGCTTCCAAGCACTCCAAATATCCACTCGCAGATTCTGCAAAAAGAGAGATTCAAATCTGCTGAATCAAAAGATAGGTTTAACTCTGTGACTTCAATGCACACCTCACAAGGGTGTTTCTCAGAAAGCTTCTGTGTAGTTTTTATATGAAGATATCTCCTTCTCCAAAGCAGGTCTCAAAGCCCTCCAAATATTCACTTCAAGATTCTACGGAAAGATTGTCTCAACACTGCTAAATCTAAACAAATGTTCAACTCTGTGTGATGAATGCACTCATCACAGAGAAGTTTCTCTGAATGCCTCTGTGTAGTTTTTATTTGAAGATATTTGCTTTTCCAGTATAGGGCGAAATAGGGCTCCAAATATTCACTTGCAGATTCTACAAAAGGAGAGATTCCAAACTGCTCAATCAAAACATAGGTTCAACACTGTGAGTTGAATGCACACATCACAAAGAAGTTTCACAGAGTGCTTCTGGGTAGTTTTTATTTGAGGATATTTCCCTTTCCACAATAGGCCTCAAAGCTTTCCAAATATCCACTTGCAGATTCTGCAAAAAGAGAGATACAAAACTGCTCTATCAAAAGATAGATTCGACTCTGTGAGTTGAATGCCAACATCGCAAAGAAGTTTCTCAGAATGCTTCTCTGCAGCTTTTTTGTGAGTATGTTTCGTTTTCCACCATAGGGCGAAATGGGGCTCCAAATATCCACTTGCATTTCCTACAAAAAGAGAGATTCTAAGCTGCTCAATCAAAACATTGTTTCAACACGGTTAGTTGAATGCACACATCCCAAAGATGTTTTTCAGAGTGCTTCTGTGTGGTTTTTATGTGAAGATACTTCCTTTTCCACAATAGGCCTCAAATCTCTGTAAATATCCACTTGCAGACTCTACAAAGAGTGTTTCCAAACTGCTCAATCATAAGATAGGTTCAACTCCGATAGTTGAATGCACACATCACAAAGAAGTTTCTCAGAAAGCTTCTGTGTAGTTTTTGATGAAGATATCTTCTTCTCTAAAACAGAACTCCAAGCCCTCCAAATATTCACTTCAAGATTCTACGGAAAGATTGTCTCAAACTGCTAAATCAAAACAAAGGTTCAACTCTGTGTGATGAATGCATTCATCACAAAGAAGTTTCTCTGAGTGCTTCTGTGCAGTTTTTATTTGAAGATAATTGCTTTTCCAGTATAGGGCGAAATAGGGCTCCAAATATTCACTTGCAGATTCTACAGAAAGAGAGATTCCAAACTGCTCAATCAAAACATAGGTTCAACACTGTGAGTTGAATGCATACATCGCAAAGAAGTTTCACAGAGTACTTCTGGGTGGTTTTTATTTGAAGATATTTCCCTTTCCACAATAGGCCTCAAAGCTTTCCAAATGTCCACTTGCAGATTCCACCAAAAGAGTGTTTCAAAACTGCTCAATCAAAAGAAAGGTTCTACTCTGTGGGATGAATGCACACATCACAAAGTAGTTTCTCAGAATGCTTCTGTGTAGTTTTTATGTGAAGATATTTGTTTTTCCACAGTAGGCCCCAAAGAGCTCCAAATATTCACTTGCAGATTCTACAAAAAGAGTGTTCCAAAACTGCTCAATCATGAAATAGGATCAACCCTGTGAGATGAATGTACGTATGACAGAGAAGTTTCTCAGAATGCTTCTGTGTAGTTTTTATGCGAAGATATTCGATTTTCCACAGTACGCCTCAAAGTTCTCCAATTATCCACTCGTAGATTCTGCAAAAAGAGAGATTCAAAACTGCTCAATCAAAAGATAGTTTCTACTCCATTAGCTGAAAGACCACATCACAAAAAAAGTTTCTCAGGATGCTTCTGTGTAGTTTTTATGTGAAGATATTTGGTTTTCCACAGTAGGCCTCAAAGCGCTCCAAATATCCACTCACAGATTCTGCAAAAAGAGAGATTCAAAACTGCTGAATCAAAAGACAGTTTCAACTCTGTGACTTCAGTGCACACCTCACAAGGATGTTTCTCAGAATGCTTCTGTGTAGTTTTCATATAAAGATATCTCCTTCTCCAAAATGGATCTCAAAGTTCTCCAAATATTCACTTCCAGATTCTATGGAAAGATTGTCTCAAAACTGCTCAATCAAACCAAAGGTTCAACTCTGTGAGATGAATGCCCACATCACAAAGAAGTTTCTCAGAGTACTTCTGTGTAGTTTCTATTTGAGGATAGTTCCTTTTCCACCACAGACCAGAAAGGGCTCCAAATATCCATTGCAGATGGTACAAAAAGTGAGATTCAAAACTGCTCAATCCAAAGGTAGTTTCAACCATGTGATATGAATGCACACAGCACAGAGAATTTTCTCAAAATGCGTCTGTCTAGTTTTTATTTGAAGATATTTCCTTTTCTACCATAGGCCACAAACGTCTCCAAATATCCACATGCAGCTTCTACAAAAAGAGAGATTCAAAACTTCTCAATCAAAAGATAGGTTCAACTCTGTGAGTTGAAAGCACACCTCACAAAGAAGTTTCTCAGAGTGCTTCTGTGTGTTTTTATGTGAAGATATTTCCTTTTCCACAATAGGCCTCAAAGCTCTCCAAATATCTGCGAGCAGAGTCTACAAAATGAGAGATTCAAAACTGCTCAATGAAAAGATAGGTTCAACTCTGTGAGTTGAATGCACACCTCCAAAGAAGTTTCTCAGAATGCTTCCGTGCAGTTTTTATGTGAAGATATTTACTTTTCCACAGTTGTCCCAAAGCTCTAAAATGTCCACTTGTAGACCCTCCAAAAGAGTGTTTCAGAATTGCTCAATCAAAGGGAAGGTTCAATTCTGTGTGACCAATGCACTCATCACAAAGAAGTTTGTCTGAATGCTTCTGTGTAGAATTGATTTGAAGATAATTCCTTTTCCACCACAGTCCGCAAAGGGCTAAAAATATCCACTTGCCGATTCCACAAAAAGAGAGATTCAAAACTGCTCAATCACAAGATAGGTTCAACTTGGTAATTGGAAAGCACACATGACAAACAATTTCTGAGAATGTTTCTGTGTAGTTTTTAAGGGAAGATATTTGATTTTCAAATGTAGGCCTCAAATCGCTCCAAATATCCACTTGCATATTGTACAAAAAGAGAGATTCAAAACTGGTCACTCAAAAGTTAGGTCCAGCTCTGTGAGCTGAATGCACACATCACAAAGATGTTTCTCAGAAGGTTTTCTGTATAGTTTCTATATGAAGATATTTGCTTTTCCACAATATGCCTCAAATCTCCCCAATTATCCACTTGCAGATTCTAGAAAAAGAGTGTTTCAAAACAGCTCAATCCAAATAAACTTTCAACTCTGTGAGATCAATGCACACATCACAAAGAAGTTTCTCAGAATGCTTCTGTGTAGTTTTTTTTGTGAAGATATTTGATTTTCCACAGCAGGCTTCCAAGCACTCCAAATATCCACTCGCAGATTCTGCAAAAAGAGAGATTCAAATCTGCTGAATCAAAAGATAGGTTTAACTCTGTGACTTCAATGCACACCTCACAAGGGTGTTTCTCAGAAAGCTTCTGTGTAGTTTTTATATGAAGATATCTCCTTCTCCAAAGCAGGTCTCAAAGCCCTCCAAATATTCACTTCAAGATTCTATGGAAAGATTGTCTCAACACTGCTAAATCTAAACAAATGTTCAACTCTGTGTGATGAATGCACTCATCACAGAGAAGTTTCTCTGAATGCCTCTGTGTAGTTTTTATTTGAAGATATTTGCTTTTCCAGTATAGGGCGAAATAGGGCTCCAAATATTCACTTGCAGATTCTACAAAAGGAGAGATTCCAAACTGCTCAATCAAAACATAGGTTCAACACTGTGAGTTGAATGCACACATCACAAAGAAGTTTCACAGAGTGCTTCTGGGTAGTTTTTATTTGAGGATATTTCCCTTTCCACAATAGGCCTCAAAGCTTTCCAAATATCCACTTGCAGATTCTGCAAAAAGAGAGATACAAAACTGCTCTATCAAAAGATAGATTCGACTCTGTGAGTTGAATGCCAACATCGCAAAGAAGTTTCTCAGAATGCTTCTCTGCAGCTTTTTTGTGAGTATGTTTCGTTTTCCACCATAGGGCGAAATGGGGCTCCAAATATCCACTTGCATTTCCTACAAAAAGAGAGATTCTAAGCTGCTCAATCAAAACATTGTTTCAACACGGTTAGTTGAATGCACACATCCCAAAGATGTTTTTCAGAGTGCTTCTGTGTGGTTTTTATGTGAAGATACTTCCTTTTCCACAATAGGCCTCAAATCTCTGTAAATATCCACTTGCAGACTCTACAAAGAGTGTTTCCAAACTCCTCAATCATAAGATAGGTTCAACTCCGATAGTTGAATGCACACATCACAAAGAAGTTTCTCAGAAAGCTTCTGTGTAGTTTTTGATGAAGATATCTTCTTCTCTAAAACAGAACTCCAAGCCCTCCAAATATTCACTTCAAGATTCTACGGAAAGATTGTCTCAAACTGCTAAATCAAAACAAAGGTTCAACTCTGTGTGATGAATGCATTCATCACAAAGAAGTTTCTCTGAGTGCTTCTGTGCAGTTTTTATTTGAAGATAATTGCTTTTCCAGTATAGGGCGAAATAGGGCTCCAAATATTCACTTGCAGATTCTACAGAAAGAGAGATTCCAAACTGCTCAATCAAAACATAGGTTCAACACTGTGAGTTGAATGCATACATCGCAAAGAAGTTTCACAGAGTACTTCTGGGTGGTTTTTATTTGAAGATATTTCCCTTTCCACAATAGGCCTCAAAGCTTTCCAAATGTCCACTTGCAGATTCCACCAAAAGAGTGTTTCGAAACTGCTCAATCAAAAGAAAGGTTCTACTCTGTGGGATGAATGCACACATCACAAAGTAGTTTCTCAGAATGCTTCTGTGTAGTTTTTATGTGAAGATATTTGTTTTTCCACAGTAGGCCCCAAGGAGCTCCAAATATTCACTTGCAGATTCTACAAAAAGAGTGTTCCAAAACTGCTCAATCATGAAATAGGATCAACCCTGTGAGATGAATGTACGTATGACAGAGAAGTTTCTCAGAATGCTTCTGTGTAGTTTTTATGCGAAGATATTCGATTTTCCACAGTACGCCTCAAAGTTCTCCAATTATCCACTCGTAGATTCTGCAAAAAGAGAGATTCAAAACTGCTCAATCAAAAGATAGTTTCTACTCCATTAGCTGAAAGACCACATCACAAAAAAAGTTTCTCAGGATGCTTCTGTGTAGTTTTTATGTGAAGATATTTGGTTTTCCACAGTAGGCCTCAAAGCGCTCCAAATATCCACTCACAGATTCTGCAAAAAGAGAGATTCAAAACTGCTGAATCAAAAGACAGTTTCAACTCTGTGACTTCAGTGCACACCTCACAAGGATGTTTCTCAGAATGCTTCTGTGGAGTTTTTATATAAAGATATCTCCTTCTCCAAAATGGATCTCAAAGTTCTCCAAATATTCACTTCCAGATTCTATGGAAAGATTGTCTCAAAACTGCTCAATCAAACCAAAGGTTCAACTCTGTGAGATGAATGCCCACATCACAAAGAAGTTTCTCAGAGTACTTCTGTGTAGTTTCTATTTGAGGATAGTTCCTTTTCCACCACAGGACCAGAAAGGGCTCCAAATATCCATTGCAGATGGTACAAAAAGTGAGATTCAAAACTGCTCAATCCAAAGGTAGTTTCAACCATGTGATATGAATGCACACAGCACAGAGAATTTTCTCAAAATGCGTCTGTCTAGTTTTTATTTGAAGATATTTCCTTTTCTACCATAGGCCACAAACGTCTCCAAATATCCACATGCAGCTTCTACAAAAAGAGAGATTCAAAACTTCTCAATCAAAAGATAGGTTCAACTCTGTGAGTTGAAAGCACACCTCACAAAGAAGTTTCTCAGAGTGCTTCTGTGTGTTTTTATGTGAAGATATTTCCTTTTCCACAATAGGCCTCAAAGCTCTCCAAATATCTGCGAGCAGAGTCTACAAAATGAGAGATTCAAAACTGCTCAATGAAAAGATAGGTTCAACTCTGTGAGTTGAATGCACACCTCCAAAGAAGTTTCTCAGAATGCTTCCGTGTAGTTTTTATGTGAAGATATTTACTT
Source organism: Homo sapiens (assembly GCF_000001405.40). NCBI lineage: Eukaryota > Metazoa > Chordata > Mammalia > Primates > Hominidae > Homo > Homo sapiens. The sequence continues at coordinate 18,066,608 of NC_000015.10, read as the reverse complement.
TTCCACAGTTGTCCCAAAGCTCTAAAATGTCCACTTGCAGACCCTCCAAAAGAGTGTTTCAGAATTGCTCAATCAAAGGGAAGGTTCAATTCTGTGTGACCAATGCACTCATCACAAAGAAGTTTGTCTGAATGCTTCTGTGTAGAATTGATTTGAAGATAATTCCTTTTCCACCACAGTCCGCAAAGGGCTAAAAATATCCACTTGCCGATTCCACAAAAAGAGAGATTCAAAACTGCTCAATCACAAGATAGGTTCAACTTGGTAATTGGAAAGCACACATGACAAACAATTTCTGAGAATGTTTCTGTGTAGTTTTTAAGGGAAGATATTTGATTTTCAAATGTAGGCCTCAAATCGCTCCAAATATCCACTTGCATATTGTACAAAAAGAGAGATTCAAAACTGGTCACTCAAAAGTTAGGTCCAGCTCTGTGAGCTGAATGCACACATCACAAAGATGTTTCTCAGAAGGTTTCTGTATAGTTTCTATATGAAGATATTTGCTTTTCCACAATATGCCTCAAATCTCCCCAATTATCCACTTGCAGATTCTAGAAAAAGAGTGTTTCAAAACAGCTCAATCAAAATAAACTTTCAACTCTGTGAGATCAATGCACACATCACAAAGAAGTTTCTCAGAATGCTTCTGTGTAGTTTTTTTTGTGAAGATATTTGATTTTCCACAGCAGGCTTCCAAGAACTCCAAATATCCACTCGCAGATACTGCAAAAAGAGAGATTCAAATCTGCTGAATCAAAAGATAGGTTTAACTCTGTGACTTCAATGCACACCTCACAAGGGTGTTTCTCAGAAAGCTTCTGTGTAGTTTTTATATGAAGATATCTCCTTCTCCAAAGCAGGTCTCAAAGCCCTCCAAATATTCACTTCAAGATTCTACGGAAAGATTGTCTCAACACTGCTAAATCTAAACAAATGTTCAACTCTGTGTGATGAATGCACTCATCACAGAGAAGTTTCTCTGAATGCCTCTGTGTAGTTTTTATTTGAAGATATTTGCTTTTCCAGTATAGGGCGAAATAGGGCTCCAAATATTCACTTGCAGATTCTACAAAAGGAGAGATTCCAAACTGCTCAATCAAAACATAGGTTCAACACTGTGAGTTGAATGCACACATCACAAAGAAGTTTCACAGAGTGCTTCTGGGTAGTTTTTATTTGAGGATATTTCCCTTTCCACAATAGGCCTCAAAGCTTTCCAAATATCCACTTGCAGATTCTGCAAAAAGAGAGATACAAAACTGCTCTATCAAAAGATAGATTCGACTACTGTGAGTTGAATGCCAACATCGCAAAGAAGTTTCTCAGAATGCTTCTCTGCAGCTTTTTTGTGAGTATGTTTCGTTTTCCACCATAGGGCGAAATGGGGCTCCAAATATCCACTTGCATTTCCTACAAAAAGAGAGATTCTAAGCTGCTCAATCAAAACATTGTTTCAACACGGTTAGTTGAATGCACACATCCCAAAGATGTTTTTCAGAGTGCTTCTCTGTGGTTTTTATGTGAAGATACTTCCTTTTCCACAATAGGCCTCAAATCTCTGTAAATATCCACTTGCAGACTCTACAAAGAGTGTTTCCAAACTGCTCAATCATAAGATAGGTTCAACTCCGATAGTTGAATGCACACATCACAAAGAAGTTTCTCAGAAAGCTTCTGTGTAGTTTTTGATGAAGATATCTTCTTCTCTAAAACAGAACTCCAAGCCCTCCAAATATTCACTTCAAGATTCTACGGAAAGATTGTCTCAAACTGCTAAATCAAAACAAAGGTTCAACTCTGTGTGATGAATGCATTCATCACAAAGAAGTTTCTCTGAGTGCTTCTGTGCAGTTTTTATTTGAAGATAATTGCTTTTCCAGTATAGGGCGAAATAGGGCTCCAAATATTCACTTGCAGATTCTACAGAAAGAGAGATTCCAAACTGCTCAATCAAAACATAGGTTCAACACTGTGAGTTGAATGCATACATCGCAAAGAAGTTTCACAGAGTACTTCTGGGTGGTTTTTATTTGAAGATATTTCCCTTTCCACAATAGGCCTCAAAGCTTTCCAAATGTCCACTTGCAGATTCCACCAAAAGAGTGTTTCGAAACTGCTCAATCAAAAGAAAGGTTCTACTCTGTGGGATGAATGCACACATCACAAAGTAGTTTCTCAGAATGCTTCTGTGTAGTTTTTATGTGAAGATATTTGTTTTTCCACAGTAGGCCCCAAAGAGCTCCAAATATTCACTTGCAGATTCTACAAAAAGAGTGTTCCAAAACTGCTCAATCATGAAATAGGATCAACCCTGTGAGATGAATGTACGTATGACAGAGAAGTTTCTCAGAATGCTTCTGTGTAGTTTTTATGCGAAGATATTCGACTTTCCACAGTACGCCTCAAAGTTCTCCAATTATCCACTCGTAGATCCTGCAAAAAGAGAGATTCAAAACTGCTCAATCAAAAGATAGTTTCTACTCCATTAGCTGAAAGACCACATCACAAAAAAAGTTTCTCAGGATGCTTCTGTGTAGTTTTTATGTGAAGATATTTGGTTTTCCACAGTAGGCCTCAAAGCGCTCCAAATATCCACTCACAGATTCTGCAAAAAGAGAGATTCAAAACTGCTGAATCAAAAGACAGTTTCAACTCTGTGACTTCAGTGCACACCTCACAAGGATGTTTCTCAGAATGCTTCTGTGGAGTTTTTATATAAAGATATCTCCTTCTCCAAAATGGATCTCAAAGTTCTCCAAATATTCACTTCCAGATTCTATGGAAAGATTGTCTCAAAACTGCTCAATCAAACCAAAGGTTCAACTCTGTGAGATGAATGCCCACATCACAAAGAAGTTTCTCAGAGTACTTCTGTGTAGTTTCTATTTGAGGATAGTTCCTTTTCCACCACAGACCAGAAAGGGCTCCAAATATCCATTGCAGATGGTACAAAAAGTGAGATTCAAAACTGCTCAATCCAAAGGTAGTTTCAACCATGTGATATGAATGCACACAGCACAGAGAATTTTCTCAAAATGCGTCTGTCTAGTTTTTATTTGAAGATATTTCCTTTTCTACCATAGGCCACAAACGTCTCCAAATATCCACATGCAGCTTCTACAAAAAGAGAGATTCAAAACTTCTCAATCAAAAGATAGGTTCAACTCTGTGAGTTGAAAGCACACCTCACAAAGAAGTTTCTCAGAGTGCTTCTGTGTGTTTTTATGTGAAGATATTTCCTTTTCCACAATAGGCCTCAAAGCTCTCCAAATATCTGCGAGCAGAGTCTACAAAATGAGAGATTCAAAACTGCTCAATGAAAAGATAGGTTCAACTCTGTGAGTTGAATGCACACCTCCAAAGAAGTTTCTCAGAATGCTTCCGTGTAGTTTTTATGTGAAGATATTTACTTTTCCACAGTTGTCCCAAAGCTCTAAAATATCCACTTGCAGACCCTCCAAAAGAGTGTTTCAGAATTGCTCAATCAAAGGGAAGGTTCAATTCTTTGTGACCAATGCACTCATCACAAAGAAGTTTGTCTGAATGCTTCTGTGTAGAATTGATTTGAAGATAATTCCTTTTCCACCACAGTCCGCAAAGGGCTAAAAATATCCACTTGCCGATTCCACAAAAAGAGAGATTCAAAACTGCTCAATCACAAGATAGGTTCAACTTGGTAATTGGAAAGCACACATGACAAACAATTTCTGAGAATGTTTCTGTGTAGTTTTAAGGGAAGATATTTGATTTTCAAATGTAGGCCTCAAATCGCTCCAAATATCCACTTGCATATTGTACAAAAAGAGAGATTCAAAACTGGTCACTCAAAAGTTAGGTCCAGCTCTGTGAGCTGAATGCACACATCACAAAGATGTTTCTCAGAAGGTTTCTGTATAGTTTCTATATGAAGATATTTGCTTTTCCACAATATGCCTCAAATCTCCCCAATTATCCACTTGCAGATTCTAGAAAAAGAGTGTTTCAAAACAGCTCAATCAAAATAAACTTTCAACTCTGTGAGATCAATGCACACATCACAAAGAAGTTTCTCAGAATGCTTCTGTGTAGTTTTTTTTGTGAAGATATTTGATTTTCCACAGCAGGCTTCCAAGCACTCCAAATATCCACTCGCAGATTCTGCAAAAAGAGAGATTCAAATCTGCTGAATCAAAAGATAGGTTTAACTCTGTGACTTCAATGCACACCTCACAAGGGTGTTTCTCAGAAAGCTTCTGTGTAGTTTTTATATGAAGATATCTCCTTCTCCAAAGCAGGTCTCAAAGCCCTCCAAATATTCACTTCAAGATTCTACGGAAAGATTGTCTCAACACTGCTAAATCTAAACAAATGTTCAACTCTGTGTGATGAATGCACTCATCACAGAGAAGTTTCTCTGAATGCCTCTGTGTAGTTTTTATTTGAAGATATTTGCTTTTCCAGTATAGGGCGAAATAGGGCTCCAAATATTCACTTGCAGATTCTACAAAAGGAGAGATTCCAAACTGCTCAATCAAAACATAGGTTCAACACTGTGAGTTGAATGCACACATCACAAAGAAGTTTCACAGAGTGCTTCTGGGTAGTTTTTATTTGAGGATATTTCCCTTTCCACAATAGGCCTCAAAGCTTTCCAAATATCCACTTGCAGATTCTGCAAAAAGAGAGATACAAAACTGCTCTATCAAAAGATAGATTCGACTCTGTGAGTTGAATGCCAACATCGCAAAGAAGTTTCTCAGAATGCTTCTCTGCAGCTTTTTTGTGAGTATGTTTCGTTTTCCACCATAGGGCGAAATGGGGCTCCAAATATCCACTTGCATTTCCTACAAAAAGAGAGATTCTAAGCTGCTCAATCAAAACATTGTTTCAACACGGTTAGTTGAATGCACACATCCCAAAGATGTTTCTCAGAGTGCTTCTGTGTGGTTTTTATGTGAAGATACTTCCTTTTCCACAATAGGCCTCAAATCTCTGTAAATATCCACTTGCAGACTCTACAAAGAGTGTTTCCAAACTGCTCAATCATAAGATAGGTTCAACTCCGATAGTTGAATGCACACATCACAAAGAAGTTTCTCAGAAAGCTTCTGTGTAGTTTTTGATGAAGATATCTTCTTCTCTAAAACAGAACTCCAAGCCCTCCAAATATTCACTTCAAGATTCTACGGAAAGATTGTCTCAAAACTCCTAAATCAAAACAAAGTTTCAACTCTGTGTCATGAATGCATTCATCTCAAAGAAGTTTCTCTGAATGCTTCTGTGCAGTTTTTATTTGAAGATAATTGCTTTTCCAGTATAGGGCGAAATAGGGCTCCAAATATTCACTTGCAGATTCTACAGAAAGAGAGATTCCAAACTGCTCAATCAAAACATAGGTTCAACACTGTGAGTTGAATGCATACATCGCAAAGAAGTTTCACAGAGTACTTCTGGGTGGTTTTTATTTGAAGATATTTCCCTTTCCACAATAGGCCTCAAAGCTTTCCAAATGTCCACTTGCAGATTCCACCAAAAGAGTGTTTCGAAACTGCTCAATCAAAAGAAAGGTTCTACTCTGTGGGATGAATGCACACATCACAAAGTAGTTTCTCAGAATGCTTCTGTGTAGTTTTTATGTGAAGATATTTGTTTTTCCACAGTAGGCCCCAAAGAGCTCCAAATATTCACTTGCAGATTCTACAAAAAGAGTGTTCCGAAACTGCTCAATCATGAAATAGGATCAACCCTGTGAGATGAATGTACGTATGACAGAGAAGTTTCTCAGAATGCTTCTGTGTAGTTTTTATGCGAAGATATTCGACTTTCCACAGTACGCCTCAAAGTTCTCCAATTATCCACTCGTAGATCCCGCAAAAAGAGAGATTCAAAACTGCTCAATCAAAAGATAGTTTCTACTCCATTAGCTGAAAGACCACATCACAAAAAAAGTTTCTCAGGATGCTTCTGTGTAGTTTTTATGTGAAGATATTTGGTTTTCCACAGTAGGCCTCAAAGCGCTCCAAATATCCACTCACAGATTCTGCAAAAAGAGAGATTCAAAACTGCTGAATCAAAAGACAGTTTCAACTCTGTGACTTCAGTGCACACCTCACAAGGATGTTTCTCAGAATGCTTCTGTGTAGTTTTTATATAAAGATATCTCCTTCTCCAAAATGGATCTCAAAGTTCTCCAAATATTCACTTCCAGATTCTATGGAAAGATTGTCTCAAAACTGCTCAATCAAACCAAAGGTTCAACTCTGTGAGATGAATGCCCACATCACAAAGAAGTTTCTCAGAGTACTTCTGTGTAGTTTCTATTTGAGGATAGTTCCTTTTCCACCACAGACCAGAAAGGGCTCCAAATATCCATTGCAGATGGTACAAAAAGTGAGATTCAAAACTGCTCAATCCAAAGGTAGTTTCAACCATGTGATATGAATGCACACAGCACAGAGAATTTTCTCAAAATGCGTCTGTCTAGTTTTTATTTGAAGATATTTCCTTTTCTACCATAGGCCACAAACGTCTCCAAATATCCACATGCAGCTTCTACAAAAAGAGAGATTCAAAACTTCTCAATCAAAAGATAGGTTCAACTCTGTGAGTTGAAAGCACACCTCACAGAGAAGTTTCTCAGAGTGCTTCTGTGTGTTTTTATGTGAAGATATTTCCTTTTCCACAATAGGCCTCAAAGCTCTCCAAATATCTGCGAGCAGAGTCTACAAAATGAGAGATTCAAAACTGCTCAATGAAAAGATAGGTTCAACTCTGTGAGTTGAATGCACACCTCCAAAGAAGTTTCTCAGAATGCTTCCGTGTAGTTTTTATGTGAAGATATTTACTTTTCCACAGTTGTCCCAAAGCTCTAAAATGTCCACTTGCAGACCCTCCAAAAGAGTGTTTCAGAATTGCTCAATCAAAGGGAAGGTTCAATTCTGTGTGACCAATGCACTCATCACAAAGAAGTTTGTCTGAATGCTTCCTGTGTAGAATTGATTTGAAGATAATTCCTTTTCCACCACAGTCCGCAAAGGGCTAAAAATATCCACTTGCCGATTCCACAAAAAGAGAGATTCAAAACTGCTCAATCACAAGATAGGTTCAACTTGGTAATTGGAAAGCACACATGACAAACAATTTCTGAGAATGTTTCTGTGTAGTTTTTAAGGGAAGATATTTGATTTTCAAATGTAGGCCTCAAATCGCTCCAAATATCCACTTGCATATTGTACAAAAAGAGAGATTCAAAACTGGTCACTCAAAAGTTAGGTCCAGCTCTGTGAGCTGAATGCACACATCACAAAGATGTTTCTCAGAAGGTTTCTGTATAGTTTTTATATGAAGATATTTGCTTTTCCACAATATGCCTCAAATCTCCCCAATTATCCACTTGCAGATTCTAGAAAAAGAGTGTTTCAAAACAGCTCAATCAAAATAAACTTTCAACTCTGTGAGATCAATGCACACATCACAAAGAAGTTTATCAGAATGCTTCTGTGTAGTTTTTTTTGTGAAGATATTTGATTTTCCACAGCAGGCTTCCAAGCACTCCAAATATCCACTCGCAGATTCTGCAAAAAGAGAGATTCAAATCTGCTGAATCAAAAGATAGGTTTAACTCTGTGACTTCAATGCACACCTCACAAGGGTGTTTCTCAGAAAGCTTCTGTGTAGTTTTTATATGAAGATATCTCCTTCTCCAAAGCAGGTCTCAAAGCCCTCCAAATATTCACTTCAAGATTCTACGGAAAGATTGTCTCAACACTGCTAAATCTAAACAAATGTTCAACTCTGTGTGATGAATGCACTCATCACAGAGAAGTTTCTCTGAATGCCTCTGTGTAGTTTTTATTTGAAGATATTTGCTTTTCCAGTATAGGGCGAAATAGGGCTCCAAATATTCACTTGCAGATTCTACAAAAGGAGAGATTCCAAACTGCTCAATCAAAACATAGGTTCAACACTGTGAGTTGAATGCACACATCACAAAGAAGTTTCACAGAGTGCTTCTGGGTAGTTTTTATTTGAGGATATTTCCCTTTCCACAATAGGCCTCAAAGCTTTCCAAATATCCACTTGCAGATTCTGCAAAAAGAGAGATACAAAACTGCTCTATCAAAAGATAGATTCGACTCTGTGAGTTGAATGCCAACATCGCAAAGAAGTTTCTCAGAATGCTTCTCTGCAGCTTTTTTGTGAGTATGTTTCGTTTTCCACCATAGGGCGAAATGGGGCTCCAAATATCCACTTGCATTTCCTACAAAAAGAGAGATTCTAAGCTGCTCAATCAAAACATTGTTTCAACACGGTTAGTTGAATGCACACATCCCAAAGATGTTTTTCAGAGTGCTTCTGTGTGGTTTTTATGTGAAGATACTTCCTTTTCCACAATAGGCCTCAAATCTCTGTAAATATCCACTTGCAGACTCTACAAAGAGTGTTTCCAAACTGCTCAATCATAAGATAGGTTCAACTCCGATAGTTGAATGCACACATCACAAAGAAGTTTCTCAGAAAGCTTCTGTGTAGTTTTTGATGAAGATATCTTCTTCTCTAAAACAGAACTCCAAGCCCTCCAAATATTCACTTCAAGATTCTACGGAAAGATTGTCTCAAAACTCCTAAATCAAAACAAAGTTTCAACTCTGTGTCATGAATGCATTCATCTCAAAGAAGTTTCTCTGAATGCTTCTGTGCAGTTTTTATTTGAAGATAATTGCTTTTCCAGTATAGGGCGAAATAGGGCTCCAAATATTCACTTGCAGATTCTACAGAAAGAGAGATTCCAAACTGCTCAATCAAAACATAGGTTCAACACTGTGAGTTGAATGCATACATCGCAAAGAAGTTTCACAGAGTACTTCTGGGTGGTTTTTATTTGAAGATATTTCCCTTTCCACAATAGGCCTCAAAGCTTTCCAAATGTCCACTTGCAGATTCCACCAAAAGAGTGTTTCGAAACTGCTCAATCAAAAGAAAGGTTCTACTCTGTGGGATGAATGCACACATCACAAAGTAGTTTCTCAGAATGCTTCTGTGTAGTTTTTATGTGAAGATATTTGTTTTTCCACAGTAGGCCCCAAGGAGCTCCAAATATTCACTTGCAGATTCTACAAAAAGAGTGTTCCAAAACTGCTCAATCATGAAATAGGATCAACCCTGTGAGATGAATGTACGTATGACAGAGAAGTTTCTCAGAATGCTTCTGTGTAGTTTTTATGCGAAGATATTCGATTTTCCACAGTACGCCTCAAAGTTCTCCAATTATCCACTCGTAGATTCTGCAAAAAGAGAGATTCAAAACTGCTCAATCAAAAGATAGTTTCTACTCCATTAGCTGAAAGACCACATCACAAAAAAAGTTTCTCAGGATGCTTCTGTGTAGTTTTTATGTGAACATATTTGGTTTTCCACAGTAGGCCTCAAAGCGCTCCAAATATCCGCTCACAGACTCTGCAAAAAGAGAGATTCAAAACTGCTGAATCAAAAGACAGTTTCAACTCTGTGACTTCAGTGCACACCTCACAAGGATGTTTCTCAGAATGCTTCTGTGTAGTTTTCATATAAAGGTATCTCCTTCTCCAAAATGGATCTCAAAGTTCTCCAAATATTCACTTCCAGATTCTATGGAAAGATTGTCTCAAAACTGCTCAATCAAACCAAAGGTTCAACTCTGTGAGATGAATGCCCACATCACAAAGAAGTTTCTCAGAGTACTTCTGTGTAGTTTCTATTTGAGGATAGTTCCTTTTCCACCACAGACCAGAAAGGGCTCCAAATATCCATTGCAGATGGTACAAAAAGTGAGATTCAAAACTGCTCAATCCAAAGGTAGTTTCAACCATGTGATATGAATGCACACAGCACAGAGAATTTTCTCAAAATGCGTCTGTCTAGTTTTTATTTGAAGATATTTCCTTTTCTACCATAGGCCACAAACGTCTCCAAATATCCACATGCAGCTTCTACAAAAAGAGAGATTCAAAACTTCTCAATCAAAAGATAGGTTCAACTCTGTGAGTTGAAAGCACACCTCACAGAGAAGTTTCTCAGAGTGCTTCTGTGTGTTTTTATGTGAAGATATTTCCTTTTCCACAATAGGCCTCAAAGCTCTCCAAATATCTGCGAGCAGAGTCTACAAAATGAGAGATTCAAAACTGCTCAATGAAAAGATAGGTTCAACTCTGTGAGTTGAATGCACACCTCCAAAGAAGTTTCTCAGAATGCTTCCGTGTAGTTTTTATGTGAAGATATTTACTTTTCCACAGTTGTCCCAAAGCTCTAAAATGTCCACTTGCAGACCCTCCAAAAGAGTGTTTCAGAATTGCTCAATCAAAGGGAAGGTTCAATTCTGTGTGACCAATGCACTCATCACAAAGAAGTTTGTCTGAATGCTTCTGTGTAGAATTGATTTGAAGATAATTCCTTTTCCACCACAGTCCGCAAAGGGCTAAAAATATCCACTTGCCGATTCCACAAAAAGAGAGATTCAAAACTGCTCAATCACAAGATACGTTCAACTTGGTAATTGGAAAGCACACATGACAAACAATTTCTGAGAATGTTTCTGTGTAGTTTTTAAGGGAAGATATTTGATTTTCAAATGTAGGCCTCAAATCGCTCCAAATATCCACTTGCATATTGTACAGAAAGAGAGATTCAAAACTGGTCACTCAAAAGTTAGGTCCAGCTCTGTGAGCTGAATGCACACATCACAAAGATGTTTCTCAGAAGGTTTCTGTATAGTTTCTATATGAAGATATTTGCTTTTCCACAATATGCCTCAAATCTCCCCAATTATCCACTTGCAGATTCTAGAAAAAGAGTGTTTCAAAACAGCTCAATCAAAATAAACTTTCAACTCTGTGAGATCAATGCACACATCACAAAGAAGTTTCTCAGAATGCTTCAGTGTAGTTTTTTTTGTGAAGATATTTGATTTTCCACAGCAGGCTTCCAAGCACTCCAAATATCCACTCGCAGATTCTGCAAAAAGAGAGATTCAAATCTGCTGAATCAAAAGATAGGTTTAACTCTGTGACTTCAATGCACACCTCACAAGGGTGTTTCTCAGAAAGCTTCTGTGTAGTTTTTATATGAGGATATCTCCTTCTCCAAAGCAGGTCTCAAAGCCCTCCAAATATTCACTTCAAGATTCTACGGAAAGATTGTCTCAACACTGCTAAATCTAAACAAATGTTCAACTCTGTGTGATGAATGCACTCATCACAGAGAAGTTTCTCTGAATGCCTCTGTGTAGTTTTTATTTGAAGATATTTGCTTTTCCAGTATAGGGCGAAATAGGGCTCCAAATATTCACTTGCAGATTCTACAAAAGGAGAGATTCCAAACTGCTCAATCAAAACATAGGTTCAACACTGTGAGTTGAATGCACACATCACAAAGAAGTTTCACAGAGTGCTTCTGGGTAGTTTTTATTTGAGGATATTTCCCTTTCCACAATAGGCCTCAAAGCTTTCCAAATATCCACTTGCAGATTCTGCAAAAAGAGAGATACAAAACTGCTCTATCAAAAGATAGATTCGACTCTGTGAGTTGAATGCCAACATCGCAAAGAAGTTTCTCAGAATGCTTCTCTGCAGCTTTTTTGTGAGTATGTTTCGTTTTCCACCATAGGGCGAAATGGGGCTCCAAATATCCACTTGCATTTCCTACAAAAAGAGAGATTCTAAGCTGCTCAATCAAAACATTGTTTCAACACGGTTAGTTGAATGCACACATCCCAAAGATGTTTTTCAGAGTGCTTCTGTGTGGTTTTTATGTGAAGATACTTCCTTTTCCACAATAGGCCTCAAATCTCTGTAAATATCCACTTGCAGACTCCACAAAGAGTGTTTCCAAACTGCTCAATCATAAGATAGGTTCAACTCCGATAGTTGAATGCACACATCACAAAGAAGTTTCTCAGAAAGCTTCTGTGTAGTTTTTGATGAAGATATCTTCTTCTCTAAAACAGAACTCCAAGCCCTCCAAATATTCACTTCAAGATTCTACGGAAAGATTGTCTCAAACTGCTAAATCAAAACAAAGGTTCAACTCTGTGTGATGAATGCATTCATCACAAAGAAGTTTCTCTGAGTGCTTCTGTGCAGTTTTTATTTGAAGATAATTGCTTTTCCAGTATAGGGCGAAATAGGGCTCCAAATATTCACTTGCAGATTCTACAGAAAGAGAGATTCCAAACTGCTCAATCAAAACATAGGTTCAACACTGTGAGTTGAATGCATACATCGCAAAGAAGTTTCACAGAGTACTTCTGGGTGGTTTTTATTTGAAGATATTTCCCTTTCCACAATAGGCCTCAAAGCTTTCCAAATGTCCACTTGCAGATTCCACCAAAAGAGTGTTTCGAAACTGCTCAATCAAAAGAAAGGTTCTACTCTGTGGGATGAATGCACACATCACAAAGTAGTTTCTCAGAATGCTTCTGTGTAGTTTTTATGTGAAGATATTTGTTTTTCCACAGTAGGCCCCAAAGAGCTCCAAATATTCACTTGCAGATTCTACAAAAAGAGTGTTCCAAAACTGCTCCATCATGAAATAGGATCAACCCTGTGAGATGAATGTACGTATGACAGAGAAGTTTCTCAGAATGCTTCTGTGTAGTTTTTATGCGAAGATATTCGACTTTCCACAGTACGCCTCAAAGTTCTCCAATTATCCACTCGTAGATCCTGCAAAAAGAGAGATTCAAAACTGCTCAATCAAAAGATAGTTTCTACTCCATTAGCTGAAAGACCACATCACAAAAAAAGTTTCTCAGGATGCTTCTGTGTAGTTTTTATGTGAAGATATTTGGTTTTCCACAGTAGGCCTCAAAGCGCTCCAAATATCCACTCACAGATTCTGCAAAAAGAGAGATTCAAAACTGCTGAATCAAAAGACAGTTTCAACTCTGTGACTTCAGTGCACACCTCACAAGGATGTTTCTCAGAATGCTTCTGTGTAGTTTTTATATAAAGATATCTCCTTCTCCAAAATGGATCTCAAAGTTCTCCAAATATTCACTTCCAGATTCTATGGAAAGATTGTCTCAAAACTGCTCAATCAAACCAAAGGTTCAACTCTGTGAGATGAATGCCCACATCACAAAGAAGTTTCTCAGAGTACTTCTGTGTAGTTTCTATTTGAGGATAGTTCCTTTTCCACCACAGACCAGAAAGGGCTCCAAATATCCATTGCAGATGGTACAAAAAGTGAGATTCAAAACTGCTCAATCCAAAGGTAGTTTCAACCATGTGATATGAATGCACACAGCACAGAGAATTTTCTCAAAATGCGTCTGTCTAGTTTTTATTTGAAGATATTTCCTTTTCTACCATAGGCCACAAACGTCTCCAAATATCCACATGCAGCTTCTACAAAAAGAGAGATTCAAAACTTCTCAATCAAAAGATAGGTTCAACTCTGTGAGTTGAAAGCACACCTCACAAAGAAGTTTCTCAGAGTGCTTCTGTGTGTTTTTATGTGAAGATATTTCCTTTTCCACAATAGGCCTCAAAGCTCTCCAAATATCTGCGAGCAGAGTCTACAAAATGAGAGATTCAAAACTGCTCAATGAAAAGATAGGTTCAACTCTGTGAGTTGAATGCACACCTCCAAAGAAGTTTCTCAGAATGCTTCCGTGTAGTTTTTATGTGAAGATATTTACTTTTCCACAGTTGTCCCAAAGCTCTAAAATATCCACTTGCAGACCCTCCAAAAGAGTGTTTCATAATTGCTCAATCAAAGGGAAGGTTCAATTCTGTGTGACCAATGCACTCATCACAAAGAAGTTTGTCTGAATGCTTCTGTGTAGAATTGATTTGAAGATAATTCCTTTTCCACCACAGTCCGCAAAGGGCTAAAAATATCCACTTGCCGATTCCACAAAAAGAGAGATTCAAAACTGCTCAATCACAAGATAGGTTCAACTTGGTAATTGGAAAGCACACATGACAAACAATTTCTGAGAATGTTTCTGTGTAGTTTTTAAGGGAAGATATTTGATTTTCAAATGTAGGCCTCAAATCGCTCCAAATATCCACTTGCATATTGTACAAAAAGAGAGATTCAAAACTGGTCACTCAAAAGTTAGGTCCAGCTCTGTGAGCTGAATGCACACATCACAAAGATGTTTCTCAGAAGGTTTCTGTATAGTTTCTATATGAAGATATTGGCTTTTCCACAATATGCCTCAAATCTCCCCAATTATCCACTTGCAGATTCTAGAAAAAGAGTGTTTCAAAACAGCTCAATCAAAATAAACTTTCAACTCTGTGAGATCAATGCACACATCACAAAGAAGTTTCTCAGAATGCTTCTGTGTAGTTTTTTTTGTGAAGATATTTGATTTTCCACAGCAGGCTTCCAAGCACTCCAAATATCCACTCGCAGATTCTGCAAAAAGAGAGATTCAAATCTGCTGAATCAAAAGATAGGTTTAACTCTGTGACTTCAATGCACACCTCACAAGGGTGTTTCTCAGAAAGCTTCTGTGTAGTTTTTATATGAGGATATCTCCTTCTCCAAAGCAGGTCTCAAAGCCCTCCAAATATTCACTTCAAGATTCTACGGAAAGATTGTCTCAACACTGCTAAATCTAAACAAATGTTCAACTCTG